>NC_000015.10:84623096-84774611 GCF_000001405.40 Homo sapiens
ATTATTTTTGAGACGGAGTCTCACTCTGTCACCCAGGCTGGAGTGCAGTGGTGCCATCTCAGCTCACTGCAAGCTCCGCCTCCCGGGTTCACGCCATTCTCCTGCCTCAGCCTCCCGAGTAGCTGGGACTACAGGTGCCCACCACCACACCCAGCTAATTTCTTTTTTTGTATTTTTAGTAGAGACGGGGTTTCACCGCGTTAGCCAGGATGGTTTCGATCTCCTGTCCTCGTGATCTGCCCGCCTTGGCCTCCCGAAGTGCTGGGATTACAGGCGTGAGCCAGCGCACCCGGCCAAGAACATTATTTTTAAAGAAGTGTTAACTTTGAGGACATATCTGTTCCCTGGAGATATTTGGGCTTGAATCAGGAGTTTGTCCTACAGGTGTCGCCCTTGATCTCAGGATGCTACCAGGGCTTTGTTCTCGGGATCCTCGCACCTGGAGAGTGAAGACGGGCATGACGGCAGGTGAAGGGGTTTGCTGTGAAGGAAGAGGAGATAAGGCATTTCCAGGAAATGGGAAACTGCCTCCTCCTACACATGGGGCCTGTGCTCAGAATGGGCTTAGTTCTTATAGGATGGATGCTCAGTATTCCTTAATAAAGTAGAGTTCCATTCTTTTCCTGAGTCTGTCTTTTACTGTGTTAAAAACCTGAACTAGGCTGGGCGTGGTGGCTCACACCTGTAATCCCAACACTTTGGGAGGCTGAGGCGGGTGGATCACGAGGTCAGGAGATCGAGACCATCCTGGCTAACACGGTGAAACCCCGTCTACTAAAAATACAAAAAATTAGCCGGGTGTGGTGGCGGGCACCTGTAGTCCCAGCTACTTGGGAGGCTCAGGCAGGAGAATGGCATGAACCCAGGAGGCGGAGCTTGCAGTGAGCCGAGATCGCACCACTGCACTGCAGCCTGGGTGACAGAGCAAGACTCCATCTCAAAAAAAAAAAAGTCTACAATAAATGGTAAAAAGAGCTGGCACAGTGGCTCACACCTGCAATCCCAACACTTTGGGAGGCCGAGGTGGGTGGCTTGCCTGAGCTCAGGAGTTCGAGACCTCCCTGGGCAACATGGCAAAACCTCATCTCTACAAAAAATACAAAAAGTAGCTGGGCGTGGTGGCAGGCGCCTGTAGTTCCAGCTACTCTGGAGGCTGAGACAGGAGAATCGCTTGAACCCGGGAGGCAGGGGTTGCAGTGAGCCGAGGTCGCCCCGCTGCACTCCAACCTGGGTGAGAGAGCAAGATTCTGTCTTCAAAAGGAAAAGAAAAAGAGAAAAAAAAAAAAAGCAAAACATAACCAAAAACACAATTGCTTCACCCTCAACGTGGCCCTCTGGTCCACCTCTGCAAGTCTTTTACCTGACTTTCGTCACTTCCCTTTCCCAGTCCCCACAATGGCTGTGTACCCTTTGGCCATTCTCAGAATGTCAGCTCCCAGGCTCAGCTCACATCTGAGAACCCTGAACCCGTCAGGTGTGAACTCCCGCTGTTTCCCACCTCCAGGCCAACAAACTCTCTGCGCTCCCTCAGCCTCTCACCTCTACGCTCAGCCTGGAGCTATGCTTTCAGCTTCATAGTAACCTCCACCCGGAGCTTCCCCTCCACTTCTCCAGGATCAGGACCTTGCCCCATCAGCTCTTTCCTGTCTTGATTTCAAGTCTCTCTTGGCTTCTTCCTGCCACCTACTCACCTGCTGAAGTTGTTCCTGGAATCTCAAACTCAGCATGTCCCCTGACTGCCTCTCCTTGCCTTTCCTCTTTGTGAGTAGCACCGCCACCTATCCTGCCTCACCCAATCCCAAAACCTGGGATCATCCAAGATGCCTTCCTCCCTCAGAGCCATTCATTCGGGAACCACAGCGTGCACATTCTGCCTCCCTACTCAGCATTCCCAGCCTCAAAGCCCCTGGCAGAGTTCAGACCTTTGCCTGGCAGCTGCCACAGCCCTTCCTGGTTGCTTCCCGGCAATTTTACTTCCGTTTCCTGCCTCAGCCTCTTGAGTATCTGGGATTACAGGCATGCGCCACCACTACTTCCTTCCTGGTTGCTTCCCGGCAATTCTACTTCCATTTCCCATATGGCTGTGGGATATTTTATCAAGAGGGTGAAAAAGGAAAAAGGACAAAAGTGAGATTTTGTCCAAAGATCTGAAATAGCTTAACTGGGCCAGGGAGCAGGGAGGCTAGAACCGCCCTCCATTTGGTAATCTCCAAGGCCATCTGTGAGAGACTATGGAGACTATGGGTACAGCAAACCCAGGACATGGGGCCCCTGCTGAACTTTCTGGTTATGAGACAGGACACCCTTCAGGGATAAAGGGCCAGGAAGGACAATCACAAGTCACATGTAAGGAATGACCAGTTACAGTTGTGGATTGTCCTGACACTAGCTAGAGAGAAGACTAAACATTGTAGCTAATATATCTTTCTTTTTTTTTTTTTTTGAGCTGGTGCTCTGTTGCCCAGGCTGGAGTGTAGTGGCACCATCTCAGGTCACTGCGACCTCCGCCTCCTGGGTTCAAGCGATCCTCCTGTCTTTCAGCTTCATTGTAACCTCCACCTCCCTATGCCTGCCTCTCCATGTTGCAGCTAGAGTGAGCATTCTTTCACAGCAGAACTGAGCCGGCTACCACCTAGCTTAAGCCCTGAGGGGCTCCCCATCACCTACAGAAAGGCCATACTGCTCAACAGCAGATGAGGCCTTCCCATAGGGAACCTCTGTGGAAACTCATCACATTCATTCCTTGCCTTGCCCTGGTCATCACACCTCTGTGCCCTTGACCATTCTTATCCCCAGCCAGCTCCCGATCACTATGCACAGCTGAGCCTTGCCTCAGTGCCCCTGTTCACCCTGCTCCCTTTTCTGGAACGCCGGGCCTCCCTGTTTGCCGGGGCCCGCCTGCCCATTTTTGAAGATGCAGCTTGGGCACCACCTCCTCCAGGAGGCCTCCTCCCTGCACTTCCCTGGCAGACTTGACCCTGCCTGTGGGCCCTTGCACTCTCCAGCTCAGTGCCATGACTCTCGTTACGTTGATCTGTTACACGTCCTCCCTACTTCATCCTGCCCCCTCCCTCCCTTCCATTTTTTATGTTCATACCCATCCTGAGGTTCCCAGCTCCAGGAACCTCCAGCTCTAGTACCCAGCTCAGTGCTTGTGATGGGAACTCAGGAAATATTTGCCAGTTGGTTCTCTTCATAGAAATGCAAGAAGCAGTCTGGGCGTGGTGGCTCACACCTGTAATCCCAGCATTTTGGGAGGCCAAAGCAGGCGGATCAGCTGAGGTCAGGAGTTCAAGACCAGCCTGGCCAACATGACAAAACCCCGTCTCTACTAAAAATACAAAATTAGCTAGGCATGGTGGCACATGCCTGTAATCCCAGCTACTCGAGAGGCTGAGGCAGGAGAATTGCTCAAACCCAGGAGGCAGAGGTTGCAGTGAGCCAAGATCACGCTGCCATTGCACTCCAGCCTGGGCAACAAGAGCGAAACTCTGTCTAAAAAAAAAAGAAATGCAAGAGACAGATGAAGCCCATGATTCTGGCCTGGATAGTGGATTAGGTTTCCTGCGCGTTCCTTGGTCAGATGATAAATGTTAGTTTTTACTTCAGTGCCCTCTTAGTATTTACCTATGTAAGTTATGCACACAGATGAAGACATTTGTAAAAACCAACCCACCAATATTCTAATGAAACAACTTATAGTTTTGAAATGTCACAGATAATCAAAAGCCCATGGAAAACCATGCATATTGTAGCCAAATCTGTAGTACACAATTTATTTTTTTTAATAGAGACAGGATCTCACTATGTTGCCCAGGCTGGTCTTGAACTCCTGGGCTCAGGCAATCCACTCGCCTCAGACTCCCAAAGTGCTGAGATCACAGGTGTGAGCCACTGCACCCGGTCTTTTTTTTTTTTTTTTTTTTTAATAGAGACAGGGTCTCTTACTGTGTTGCTCAGGCTTGTCTCAAACTTCTGGGCTCAAGCGATCCTCTCACCTTGGCCTCCCAAAGTGCTGGGATAACAGGCATGAGCCACCACTCGGCTCACAATTTTTTTTTTCTGTTTTTTCTGTTTGGACAAGCGGTGAACCCTCAGAGACTTTATCTTACTCTTATCCTTTAATACAGTGAATCTATATAACTATATCCAGAGACAGTTCCCTTTGTTTTAAATTGTTATTGGGCCGGGCATGGCGGCTCACACCTGTAAACCCAGCACTTTAGGAGGCCAAGGTGGGCAGATCATTTGAGGTCGGGAGTTCGAGAGCAGCCTGGCCAACACAGTGAAACCCCATCTCTACTAAAAATACAAAAATTAGCTGGGCATGGTGGCGGGCACCTGTAGTCCCAGATACTTGGGAGGCTGAGGCAAGAGAATCACTTGAATCCGGGAGGTCGAGGTTGCAGTGAGCCAAGATCGCACCACTGCACTCCAGCCTGGGTGACAGAGCAAGACTTGGTCTCAAAAATAAATACATAAATTGTTATTAATATATAGCAGACAAGTGTACACAAATGTACAGCTCATTGAGTTTTTACAAACTGCACACACTTGTGTAACCAGCACCCAGATCAAGAAACTACTTACCAGGGCCAGGCGCTCCTGCCTATAATCCTAACTCTTTGGGAGGCCGAGGTGGGTGGATCACTTGAGGTCAGAAGTTCAAGACCAGCCTGGCCAACATGGTGAAACCCCACCTCTACTAAAAATAAAAAAATTAGCCAGGTGTGGTGGCGCCTACCTGTTGTCTCAGCTACTCAAGAGGCTGAGGCAAGACAATCACTTGAACCCAGGAGGTGGAGCTTGCAGTGAGCTGAGATGGCGCCACTGTACTCCAGCCTGGACAACAGAACAAGACTCTATCTCAAAAAAAAAAAAAAAAAAAAATCGCTTACCAGGACCCCAGAAGGTATTCCCCTTCCAGGCAGTACCTTGTCTCCCTCTTAACCCTGTCCTGAAGTTTGTGACATAGTAGAGAGTATTGAGCACTGGACAGATCTAGTTGTAGACAAACTTCTGCCACTAACTACATACCTTCATTTTTATTAGAGATTTTATAATTTGAGGCAAGCTATAATGAGATGACTTTTTTTATTCATGGAATTTTGCTTCACTTGGGTTGCATTATATACTTTACAATAAACCAGAAGAGCTTATAGTGACAAAATGGACAGAGCAGTTACCATGCGCCAGGCACTGTGCTAAGGTCTTTACCTGCCATCTCATTTAATCCTGACAGCCCTAGGAGGGAGGTAAGTATCCTCACTCTACAGGTAAGAAAATGGAGGCTCAGAGGAGAGGTTTGGTCAGTTACCTGCCCCACACCTGTTACTTAACCATGACTCCTGAAGTCCACTGTTAAAGCCATGAGAAATACCTAATAGGAACAAATGGATAAAAGAACAAAACATTAAGATAAAAATGATACATTAGTGGCCAGGCACGGTGGGCTCACTCCTGTAATCTCAGAACTTTGGGAGGCCAAAGTGGGTGGGTCACTTGAGGTGAGGAGTTTGAGAGCAGCCTGACCAACATAGGGAAACCCCATCTCTACTAAAAATACAAAAAAATAGCTGAGCATGGTGGTGTGCACCTGTAGTCCCAGCTACTCAGGAAGCTGAGGCAGGAGGATCACTTGAACTCGGGAGGCAGAGGTTGTAGTGACCTGAGATGGTGCCACTGCACTCCAGCCCGGGCAACAGAGCAAAGACTCCATCTCAAAAAAAAAAAAAAAAGATATATTAGCTACAATGTTTAGTCTTCTCTCTTCATTGACAATAATTTGGCATCTGAACACATGGGGCCTCAGAGAGGACTGAGAACCCTGAAGTAGTTGCCTGAATTTGGAGCTACGGTACCAGTAGGGGTCCTTGAAAGCCCCCCCTGCAGATTACTTGAGCCCAGGAGTTCAAGACCAGCCTTGGCAACATGGCCAAACCTCATCTCTACAAAACGTACAAAAATTAGCCTGGCATGGTGGTGCGGGCCTATAGTCCCAGCTCTTCGGAGGTTGAGGCAGGAAGATTGCCTGAGTTCAGGGAGGCCAGGGCTGCAGTGAGCGATGATCAGGCCCAGAATCCAGCCGGGCAACAGAGAGAGACCCTGTCTCAAAAATAAATAAATAAATAAATAAATAAATAAATAAATAAATAAAGGCCTCACCGACTTTCAGCTTCTCCTCCTAGTAAGTCCTCCTGAGCCCTGGACCTCTCGTTTGGTTGATGGTCCTTGGTTTATTGTGAGCTGTTGCTTTTTTTTTTTTTTCTCCTAGGAAGAGGTTGTTTAGGATCCTAATTGTAGTTCGGAGGTTCATTCTAAAGGTTCTTCTCGATTCCCTTTTTCTAAAGACAAGGAGAACGACCCCCTTGCAGGCACCCCGTTTGGTTTCTAGTTTGGAAGTGCATTCTAAAGGGTCTTCTCCATGGCTTTTTCTCCCAAATTAAGTTCAGTGGGTTTGTCTGCACTGAGACTTTTTGTTGACACTAAGTTAAGAGGGATAGAAGGAATTTCCATGGCCCTGCTTCGCAACTGATTCTCTAGAAAGCCCTTTCTGTTATCCTGTCCTTCCCTCACCTAACCACAGGCTGCTCCTACTGTGGGGGCAAGCACAGCTCTCCCCACCTTCATTGAATTTGAACCTTTCATCTGTTAAATAAGAAGTGAAACCTACAATGCAGGGTTCCAGGTTTCCTTCTCAGAACCAAACCAGATAAAATGTGTAAAGTAGGTCCTTTCCCTGAGGCTGCACGATTCTGGGCTCTCCCAGCCCTTCCTTGGTTTTTTTTTTTTTTTTTTTTTGAAACAGTCTCCCTCTGTCACCCAGGCTGGAGTTCAGTGGCATGATTTCAGCTCACTACAATCTCTGCCTCCCCGGTTCAAGCGATTCTCCTGCTTCAGCCTCCTGAGTAGCTGGGATTACCACCACACCAAGCTAATTTTTTTGTATTTTTACTAGATTTGGGGTTTCACCATGTTGGCCAGGCTGGTCTCGAACTCCTGACCTCAAGTGACCGGCCCGCCTTGGCATCCCAAAGTGCTGGGATTACAGGCGTGAGCCACTGCACCGGTCCGTCCCTGGTATTTCTATCAAGTCATTTCCTTTGAACACACCTCCATTTAGCACGTAGCATTTCGCAAAGCATTTAATAGCACTGCATTGTAGTTATTTGGGTTGCACATAACTCCGTGGCAGCGTTTTAGAAAATGCACCCTCCGCTGCATTGCATTCCTTAAGAGGAAGGAGTGTCTCCTTTTTTTTTCTCCCACCACAGCACACTCGCTGCCTGGTGCTTGGCCCGAATTGCTCCCCAACTGTTGAATGAAAGTCAATGGTATTAATCTCGAATGACCCAGGACTGTGCAAGCAGGAAATGAGGAATTGTGTGAGTGGTAAGTGAGGGGGGGAGGAACAGAGTGGTAAAGCATTACCACAGCTACCAACCATGCCAGAGAAAAGCACTTTAAGTGGCAGAAAACCTTAACTGGAGTCCCAGCTTCGTAAGGGCAGAGACCTCAGTCCCAAGCTGTCTCGATATATTCATCTGCATAGTAAGGATAAATAGGGACTAACAGGGTTAAACAGCTGCCCTCGGCCCTAAGTGAAAATACTTTATAAACTGGCGTGGCAGCTCATGCCTATAATCCCAGCACTTTGAGAGGCCCACGAGTTCAAAACCAGCCTGGGCAACATAGTTAGACCTCGTCTCTATTAAAAACAAAACAAAGGCCGGGCGCGGTGGCTCGCGCCTGTAATCCCAGCACTTTGGGAGGCCAAGGCAGGTGGATCATGAGGTCAGGAGCTCAAGACCAGCCTGGCCAAAATGGTGAAACGCCGTCGCTACTAAAAATACAAAAAAAAAAAAAAAAATCAGCCGGGAGTGGTGGTGGGTGCCTTGTAATCCCAGCTACTCGGGAGGCTGAGGCAGAGAACTGCTCGCACCCGGGAGGCGGAAGTTGCAGTGAGCCGAGATCGCGCCACTGCACTCCAGCCTGGGCGACAGAGCGAGACTCCGCTTCAAAATAAATAAATAAATAAAAAATAAAAAACAAAACAAAACAAAAAATTTTTGTAAAGACCCCTCTCGCTCATACCACCAGGGCCGCGCAGGGCGAGAGATCTCCACCTCCCCTGGGAGGCAAGACCCACACCCTCCCAGGTGCGCGAGTTGTGGCTGCGGTTCGCGACCCCGCCCCACTTACCCAGCTGGTAGAAAAGTCATCAATGATTCGTCTGAAACGAATAGGCGCCTGAGATATTCTCCCATTTTATGGGCTAACGCTGCTGTCTGTCTTCGGGCGGCGGCCTCTGGGAAATGTAGTTCCGGAGAACACGGAGTCCTTCTGGGGCTAGGTTTTCCGCTTCCGGTGCTCAGTGGCTAGCCGAATAGCCGTGTTTGGGACCTGGGCTCGGGCTTCTTGCGTCCCCGCTAAGAACATGTCACGGGGCCGAATCGTCCGTATTCTCTCAGCTTCAAGCTCCTCTACTTTTCAACCAGGTCACTAGCCCTTGACTCCTCTTATCAAACTTCCGGAACTGCCACCCCACCAGTGACTCCACAGGCACCAGGGCATGCAACAGGGCTGGGACAGGAAGGCTCTCTTCTTCACCTCAAGCCTGCTGGGCTAACACTTGCGATTTTTACTAGAGTTAACTTTGTAATGTATGTCTCTGACTCTAGAATTTCAAGAGAAGTTCCACTTAGTGACTCCTAAGTGGAAGTTCTAAGATGGCTTCCCAGTGAGGTGATGAAGAGGTTTGAGCTTTAGAGTGCGGTTGCAAAGCTCTTCTCTGACCTGAACAATGGCTGTAGCTGTGGACCAACAAATCCAGACTCCTTCAGTACAAGATCTCCAAATAGTTAAACTGGAAGAAGATTCCCACTGGGAGCAGGAAATTTCCCTTCAAGGGAATTACCCTGGACCAGAGACATCCTGCCAGAGCTTTTGGCATTTCCGTTACCAAGAAGCATCACGACCCCGAGAGGCCCTCCTCCAGCTCCAGAAGCTCTGTTGTCAGTGGCTAAGGCCAGAGAAGTGTACAAAAGAGCAGATCCTGGAGTTGCTGGTCCTAGAACAGTTCCCGACTGTCCTTCTCCAGGAGATCCAGATCTGGGTCAGACAGCAGCATCCGGAGAGTGGAGAGGAGGCAGTGGCCCTGGTGGAAGACTTGCAGAAAGAACCTGGAAGACAGAGGCTGGAGGTGAGCTATAAAAACATAGTTCCGAACAGTTAAAATAGAGGTATGTGAGAGACAGAGCTGCCTTGGGTTACTAGCAGTGTGGGCATACTTCACTATTGATGTTAAACTGGAATTTGCTTATTTCGTGGTCATGGTATCTGCAACTTTCCTTCCAAGTTCAGGCTGACTCTTCAGAGAATGCACAACATTGGCTGCTCTGAGTGTCCGTCCCTGCCATTAAATAAGAAAATTGCTTAAAATGGTATGAGCCTCACTGTGATCAGGGAGGAGCACATGTGACAGGGATGTCTTTTTGGAGAACAGCTCTCACTCTGTAGCAGCCAGCCAGAGGCAAGCGGCTTCGGTGGTCTTTGTCGACATTATTGAGCCTATTGCAAAACACCTGAATTATCCTATGTCTTTTTGCCTAGGGTTTGGCAAGGCAGGTAGGAGCAGTCCCCAGAGAGCTGGGTGGCCAGGATGCAGTGGTCCATGGCCTTATCTCCATAAAGCCTTCCACATGTCTGCCGTCTTTACTGCTGTTGCAGGCTTTTGCATAAGACTGGCTTTTTCCTCTGCTTTTTTTTTTTTTTTTTTTTTTTTGGAAAGGGAGTCTCGCTCTGTCACCCAGGCTGGAGTGCAGTGGTGCCATCTCGGGTCATTGCAACCTCCGCCAACCGGGTTCAAGCGAGTCTCCTGCCTCAGCCTCCCTAGTAGCTGGGACTACAGGCGCCCACCACCACGCCCGGCTAATTTTTGTATTTTTAGTAGAGACTGGGTTTCACCATATTGGCCAGGCTGGCCTCGAACTCCTGACCTTGTGATCCACCCACCTCGGCCTCCCAAAGTGTTGGGATTACAGGCGTGAGCCACTGCACCCAACCTTTCCTCTGCTTTTTTATGTTTGGGATGTTTAAGTTTTAGTCCCTACAGAATTTTGACCACTTCCAGTCCTTGAAGAGGGACAGGATGTGCTCTCAAAGAAGGAGCCCTCAGGATCAGTACTGAGTTCTCTAAACATCCATCCGAAGCAAGCACAGACAGAATCTGTCTGTTCCAGGCAATGGTGAAGTTCACAGCAGAACCAGAGGAACAGTTGAAGCACAGCCCCAAAATAGAACGAACTCTAGCCCGTCCGCAAGAGTGATAAGAAATCGCAGTGTGGGCCCACGCGCGCCGCACGGCCGGGTCGCCGCCGTACCGTGGTGTACGTGCAGAATGCGCAGAGCGAGCGGCACCCGCTTACCCTGCGCTCCTCCGCAGCCTGGGCCGGGCCGCCCGGGACGCTGAGGCGGTGGCGGCAGCCGAGGGGGCCGGTCTTGCGCTCCGCAGGCTCGCGCGCCCGAGCCCGGGTTGCCGTTCGCCGCACAGGCCGCGTTCTCTCAGCCCACGGCGGCGATTAGGCGCTGAGGCGGCCGCCTGCGCTGCGCCGGAGCCTAGGACTCGGAAGCGACCCGGCCGAGGGCCCTGGGTGCCAGCCTCCTTGAGTCAAGGGTAGCGGGTGCATGGCGCAGTGACGGCCCCTATCTCTCTCTCCGCTCCCCAGCCTCGGGCGAGGCCGTCCGGCCGCACCCCTCCTGCTCAGCTGCGGTCGCCATGGCCAATGACAGCTGCGGGCCCGGCGAGCCGAGCTCGAGCGAGCGAGACCGGCAGTACTGCGAGCTGTGCGGGAAGATGGAGAACCTGCTGCGCTGCAGCCGCAGCTCCTTCTGCTGCAAGGAGCGCCAGCGCCAGGACTGGAAGAAGCACAAGCTCGTGTGCCAGGGCAGCGAGGGCGCCCTCGGCCACGGAGGGGGCCCTCACCAGGACTCCGGCCCCGCGCCGCCCGCTGCAGCGCCGCCGTCCAGGGACCGGGCCCTGGAGGCCAGGAAGGCAGCGAGGCGCCGGGACAGCGCCTCCGGGGACGCAGCCAAGGCAAAGGCCAAGTCCGCGGCCGACCCCGCGGCGGCCGCGTCCCCGCCTCGCGCGTCCCCGGGCCGGACAAAAGCCATGGCTGCTTGTTATCCGGTCAATGGAACGGGTTATGTACGTCATGTTGATAATCCAAATGGAGACGGAAGACGTGTGAAATGTATTACATTACGTTAAAGAACGGGATGCCAAGGTAAGTGGAGGTATACTTCGAATTTTTCTAGAAGGTAAAGCCTAGTTTGCTGACATTGAACCCAAATTTGATAGACTGCTGTTTTTCTGGTCTGACCATCGCAACCCTCATGAAGTACAACCAGCATATGCTACAAAGTACGCAATAACTGTTTGGTATTTGATGCAGATGAGAGAGCACGAGCTAAAGTAAAATATCTAACAGGTGAAAAAGGTGTGAGGATTGAACTCAATAAACCTTCAGATTCAGTCAGTAAAGACGTCTTATAGAGCCTTTGATCCAGCAATACCCCACTTCACCTACAATAATTGTTGACGCTATTTGTTAATTTGTGAATACGAATAAATGGGATAAAGAAAAATAGACAACCAGTTCGCATTTTAGTAAGGAAACAAACAACTTTGTGTGTTGCATCAAACAGAAGATTCTGACTGCTGTGACTTTGTACCGCATGATCAACTTAGAATCTGTGATTGCTTACAGGAAGAAGATAAGCTACTAATAGAAAATGTTTTTACCTCTGGATATGAAATAAGTGCCCTGTGTAGAATTTTTTTCATTCTTATATTTTGCCAGATCTGTTACGTAGCTGAGTTAATTTCATCTCTACTTTTTTAATATATGTCAAGTTTGAATTGGAATAATTTTTCTATGATTAGGTACAATTTATCAAAACTGAATTGAGAAAAAATTACAGTATTTCTCAAAATAACGTCAATCTATTTTTGTAAACCTCTTCATACTATTAAATTTTGCCCTAAAAGACCTCTTAATAATGATTGTTGCCAGTGACTGATTAATTTTATTTTACTTAAAATAAGAAAAGGAGCACTTTAATTACAACTGAAAAATCAGATTGTTTTGCAGTCCTTCCTATCTTACACTAATTTGAACTCTTAAAGATTGCTGCTTTTTTTTGATATTGTCAATAATGAAACCCAATTGTAAAACAGTCACCATTTACTACCAGTAACTTTTAGTTAATGTCTTACAAGGAAAAAGACACAATAAGAAGAGTTTAATTTTTTTTTTTTTTTTGAGTCTTGCTCTGTTACCCAGGCTGGAGTGCAGTGGTGCATTCTCAGCTCACTGCAACCCCACTGTCTCCCAGGTTCAAGCAATCCTCCCGCCTCAGCCTCACAACTAGCTGGGACTACAGGCACATACCACCATGCCTGGCTAATTTTTGTATTTTTAGTAGAGACTGGGTTTCACCATGTTGCCTAGGCTGGGGTTTAAGTTAAATTTTTTTAAAAACTAAAGTGACTGGCACTAAGTGAACTTGAGATTATCCTCAGCTTCAAGTTCCTAAGATAAGGGCTTTCTTAAGCTTTCAGATACATGTATCCTCTAGATGTAGACAATAATGTCCCATTTCTAAGTCTTTTCCTTTGCTTCTCCTTAAGTTGATTGTACTTCCAAATTTGCTGTTATTTTTTTTCCTAATACTGTGATTTATTTGATCTACAGACAGGAACCTTGTCTCTGTTGAAGAGCATCAAGGGAAGATTACATACGCCTTGAAACCGAAGTGTGTTGTTACCGACTTAATGTGCAGTAACTCCTCAGATATCTGTTAAGGCACTTCCCAGATGTGATGCCAGTCTTCTTACCTGTACTGAAAGATGTTTAGCTTAGAAAAAAAAAAAAGTGCAAAATCAGATTTAAAAAAAAAAAAAGTAGCAGCAGTGTGGGGAGGAAGGAAGTACCCTTCTGTGGGGAGGGCATAGAAGTACTCTGTGAGTGCAGAAAGTGGGGTAGAAGGTACAGCTCCCTTCTACTTAGAAGATTGGTGTGTTGACCTCAGGCTGACCGCATGAATTTCTGGGATCCTAAATGGGCACCTCCAAAGTGAAGAAGGACCTCGGTTGGCATGTTTTGTAAAACAACATAGGGGAGCCTGTAGCACCTTTCCTTATGTGAGTCAGAGATTACCGGTCCCAATAGGTTACAGTTGGAGACAGATTTTAGGTCTGGTTGGTGGGAAGGGCAAAAGGGTAGGGTTAAACTAAGGTGCAGTAATCCTTAAAACAGTTAAGTGTCCCCAGACCAATTTAGATGACTCAGGTGTGTTATCAAAACTGAAAAACAAGGCCAGTTATGGTGGCTCATGCCTGTAATTCCAGTACTTTGGAGGCTGAGGTGGGTGGATTGCTTGAGCCCAGGAGTTCAGAGATGAGCCTGGGCAATATGGTGAAACTCCGTCTCCTCTAAAAATACAAAAAAAAAAAAAAAAAAAATTAGCCGGGCATGGTGGCAGGCACCTGTAGTCCCAGCTACTCAGAAGGCTGAGGTGGGAGGATCACCTGAGCCCAGGAGGTTAAGGCTGCGGTAAGCCAAGGTCACGCCACTGCACTCCAGCCTGGGCGACAGATCGAGGCCCTGTCTCAAAAAAACAAAAAGCAAACAAAAAACCTGAAAAACAAAATCATAAAACCCTGACAGTCAGTACCTAGATGGATATGGAGGGGAAAACCTAAAACTTTCATTTTAGAAACGTTTCATTTTGGCTGGGCATGGTGGCTCACGCCTGTAATCCCAGCACTTTGGGAGGCAGAGGCGGGCGGATCATGAGGTCAGGAGATCGAGACCATCCTGGCTAACACAGTGAAACCCCGTCTCTACTAAAAATACAAAAAATTAGCCGGGTGTGGTGGTGGGCACCTGTAGTCCCAGCTACTCAGGAGGCTGAGGCAGGAGAATGGCCTGAACCTGGGAGGCGGAGCTTGCAGTGAGCTGAGATTGTGCCACTGCACTCCAGCCTGGGCGACAGAGTGAGACTCCGTCTCAAAAAAAAAAAAAAAAAGAAATGTTTCATTTTGGTTTTTCACCAACCTTCCTTTGATAGGACAAAGCAGATACTAAGAGGGGGAGGAAAGGCTGTTCTGTGTCTGAACCCAGTTGGGCTAGTCCCCAAGAGGAGCTGAGAGCCATGTACTCTAATGCCTCCCTTTTCTTCCCCCAGCCCTGCCTGATGTGGCTCTGGGAATTCCTGCAGAGAAGAGCAGGGGTGGCCAGGAGATAGTGAGCAGCTCCCAGGTGAGTCAGCCATTTCTCTTATATAGATCACCTTTTCTCTCTCTCTTTTTTTTTTAATAGAAATATAACTCTTGAGGCACAGCTCAGTTTTCTCCTTTTGGGAAAACGATTAAGTCATTTGTCTTTACAGATTATATTTCTTTTTTTTTAAATTTTCTCTTTTTATTATACTTTAAGTTCTGGGGTACATGTGCAGAACATGCAGGTTTGTTACATAGGTACACACGTGCCATGGTGGTTTGCTGCACCCACCAACCCATCGTCTACATTAGGTATTTCTCCTAATGCTCTCCCTCCCCTAGCCCCCAATCCCCCTCAGGTCACCTTTTACTACCCAAGTGGGGCTCCTGCAACCAACTCTCTTGCCGCTCAGAAATTCCAAAAGAATTTTACCCAGCAGGGAGGCCCAGTAACTTTACAATTTAGGCTCCAAAATTTCATCAGCCTGCAAAAGGTTGCCCAAATCTCCTTACCCATATGAGGCCAGTGCCATGGCTGTGGTAATGAGGGATTGCATTAAAATTATTCTTTTCTTTGACCCTGAAATCATCAGATTCTACTGATCTGCTTGTTTGCCTTAAAGATACTGGTTACTTCATTCTGTGTCGGGATCTTGCTCACATGGCATGCAGTACTGTGTAGTGGAGGAAAAAAAACAAAAACCAAAAGCTTCAGAGTCCAACAGCCTTGAGTTGAATTCCCAGCCATACCCTGGACTTGCTGTGTAACTCTGGGCAAGTCTGAGAAGCTTCTGGCTCAGTGCATAATGTCAGCTTGTTTCTTTTCTGTCTCCTCCTGCCCGCTTGATTGCATTTAAAAGCCAAAATAATCACTGTTTCATTTCTTCTGTTGTGTCACTTGCCCTGACTCAGGCATTAGAGAGGCATTTTGTTCTGAGGCCATGTGTTTTGAGAAGGGGTGTTGTTTCCTCAGGAGCTAGTGACACCTGGTGATTCGGCTGTGTATATCTCCTAGGAGGCATGGAGGGATCCAGAACCTGGACTGAAGAACCACCTAGAAATAACTCAGCAGAATTCTGAAAATGAGGTCACGCTGGGTAAGAATGCCTTTTTTTTTTTTTCATAGTCAAAGTTAGCTATGGAGTTTCTGTAGTATTCACTACTCCAGACCTTTTTCAAGTTGAATTTTTTTTCTTTTTCCCTATGTCTGTTCTTACGTATTTTTTTTAAACTTTTATTTCAGTAGTGTTTGGGGAACAAGTAGTGTTTGGTTGCATGGAAAAGTTCTTCAGTGGTGATTTCTGAGATTTTGGTGCACCCATCACCCAAGGGTAGTCTTTTTTATCCATCAAGTCTGTACCCAATGTGTAGTCTTTGTTTTTTTCTTTTTTTTTTTTTTGAGACTGAGTCTCATTCTATCACCCAGGCTGGAGTGGAGTGGTATGATCTTGACTCACTGCAACATCTGCCTCCCGGGTTCAAGTGATTCTCCTGCCTCAGCCTCCTGAGTCGCTGGGATTACAGAGATGTGCCACCACGCCCAGCTAATTTTTGTATTTTTTTTTTTTTTTTTTGGCAGAGATGGGGTTTCACCATGTTGGCCAGGCTGGTCTTGAACTCCTGACCTTAAGTAATCTGCCTGCCTCGGCCTCCCAAAGTGCTGGGATTACAGGCCTGAGCCACCACGGGGCCCCAGTGTGCAGTCTTTTATCCCCTCAGTCTGTACCCAGTGTGTAGTCTTTTATCCCTCACCCCCCTGCTCCCACCCTTTCCCCCTGGGTTGAATATTTCAAATCTATTTCTTCCTTAAATCTTACTCAAAGGAAATCCAATACCATAGTCAGTTTCACCAAGGATGAATTTCTTGACCCAGAAAGGAAAGCTCATTTTAGGGAGATGGTCAGTTTAGGTATGTGTCTGAATTTTATTTAAGATAGATGAACGTGGATATATAGTTATGCATTTGGGCCTGAATTTTTTTTTCTAGTTGTTCTTTTCACTGAGCTTTCCCAAGAATCCCCCCAGAATTAAAAAAAAAAAATTACTATCTCCTCTCCCTGGCATATAAAATGGTTGGGATTAGATTTACCAAACCATTACATCTCCCTTTTGTCTGCCTGCAAACAGATTTTCCAATCCATAGGCCCAAAGTGAACTCCCACGTGGAGTAGGATGAAAACCCACAGCATCTAGATCTTCAAATTCTGGAGAAAAAGAGAGTGTGAAAGACTGCTCAGTGGCTGGGGTGAGAGTCAAGTCTGGCCAGGTGCTAATCTGGAGAAAAGCCAAGACCTGGAGCGAGCTGGAGTGGCAGGCCCTGGAGGATGAGAAGGTGGCAGGAGTGCACTGGGGATACAAAGAAACCAAGATTTTTCTGGGAATTCTCAGAGGCCTGGATCCACGAAAAACTCCGCACCTGCCATCGAAACCACCAGGTGTACCGGATTATGGCTGAGCAGCTGTGAGAACATGGCTTCCTGTGGACCCTGGAGCAATGTTGCTATCGGTTCAAAAACCTCCTGACCGACTACTGCAAAGCCAGGAGCACCTACACACCAGGCACCAGTGTCTTCTATGATGAGATGGATGCCCTGTTGAGTCTTGGGGCACTTTCTAACACCTTTGATGCCTTAGAGGTGGTAGGAGGCCTTCTTTGGGATTGAGAGGATTCCAAAGGGAACCAGGGCATAGCACTAGAAGATGTGGCGGGATGGTAATGAAATAGTGGAGGAGTCTCAAGAGGAATCCTGGAGGCTTGGTCCCCAGGCCTTGAGGTGGAATCCCAGTGGCAACTCTCCCCCACAATGGACCTCAGAGCAGTGGGAGCGACGCAGTCCTGTGGGAAGCATTCAGGCTCAGAATCAGGAGATGTGATTATTGTCCTGGCTCTGTTATGACTAATTTGGGTCTGGAATGGCCTCATCGGGGGAAAAATTGGTGACAACTTTAAGAAATACTGTTTATATCCCGTCCTCAAATATTGCTTGACTCAACCCTCTACTGAACCAGTAGTCCAGGGTGGCTCACAAAGACCACTTTGAGGCTCTTGCTCTGCTCTTTAGCCAAGGAGTCTCCCTTCCTGCCTTCAGTAACAACATTACAGGAAGAGAGGAGAGAAAGGTAGGAGTTAAAGATCCAGTCATTTGTTTCCATCTAAAGTGCCCTATAAGCCGGGCATGGTGGCGCAAGCCTGTAGTCCCAGCTACTCGGGAGGCTGGGGCAGGAGAATCACTTGAGCCCAGGAGTTGGAGGCCGCAGTGAGCTGTGATCATGCCACTGCATTCCAGCCTGGGCGACAGAGTGAGACCCAGACTCAGCTGAAAAATAATAATATTATTAAAAGAATTTAAAATAAAGTGTTCCATAGATGTGAACCCTGCGTAGATTATACACACCAGTCTGCCATTTAAAAGGTTTGTTGTTCTTGGGCAACCTCTTTAAATACCCTTAGCCTCCATTTTCTCATCTGGACAGTGGACATTGTGATGGTTTCTACCTCCCTGGGCTGTTATGAGGATCCTGACACAGTATTAGCACTTGGCAAACGTTAGTTTTCATTATCATCATCATTATAATTATTATGAAAATAGATAAGGGCATTATCCTGTACCCTCAAAGGAGTAAAAGGGGGAAAATGAGTCATTAAACTTTCTCTTCTGGGAACTAGACCTTCTTGAGAGGCACTATCATTCTCATTTCACCTGTCACTTCCAGACATGGGAGCAGAAAGTGAATTTCAGAACTCCATGTCCCCTCCTGCTTTTCTCTGAGCAGGACTTCCAGTTCCCCAGCCAGATGGGGTCACAATGCTGCAGAAAAGTGAAGAGCTTTGGAATGAAGATCTCCCGGACTTCAAGGAGATTCAGAAAACGTCCAGTGCAGGTGGGAAATGAATGGGAGCTAGCATTCCACCAACAAAGTCAGCCCTGGGATTCTAAACTCGGACAAGCCAGCACTGGTTAAGGGCTGAGGGGAACCAGGCACTCAGTGCACCCAGTTTACTATTCTGTGGTGTGGAAAGCACAGGACTTGAGAAGCAGGTGGCACCCAGGAAAGCCTGTTCCCCTAAGTAAGTTTGAACTTTAGTTACTTGAAAAAAGGTATAACTGAATTATGAGTGTTTATGATTTTATCTTTATTTTATTTTTTTTGAGATGGAGTCTCACCCTGTCACCCAGGCTGGAATGCAGTGGCACAATCTCGGTTCACTGCAGCCTCTACCTCTCAGGTTCAAGCAATTCTCCTGCCTCACCCTCCTGAGTAGTGGGGATTACAGGTGTGCCACCACCATGCCCGTCTCTAATTTTTATATTTTTAGTAGAGACGGGGTTTCACCATGTTGGCCAGGCTGGTCTTGAACTCCTGACCTCAAGTGATCCACCCACCTTGGCCCCCCACAAAGTGCTGGGATTACAGGCGTGAGCCACTGTGCCTGGTCTATCTTTAAATTCCTATCTGAATTTGTTTAGGTTTTTTAAATAAAAATCTTTCTTTTTTTTTAGAGACAGGGGTTCACCATGGTGCCCAGGCTGATCTCGAACTCCTCCTGGACTCAAGCTATCCTCCCACCTCAGCCTCCCAAAGTACTGGGATTACAGACATGAGCCACATGCTTGACCTGAATTTTAACTGCAGTTAATTATCACTTAACCAGCGAATTCACACAGGAGAAATCCCCTGGCCGGGCGCGGTGGCTCACACCTGTAATCCCAGCTCTTCGGGAGGCCGAGGTGGGTAGATCACAAGGTCAAGAGATCAAGACCATTCTGGCCAACATGGTGAAACTCCGTCTGTACCAAAAATACAAAAATTACCTGGGCATGGTGGTACGTGCCTGTAATCCCAGCTACTTGGCAGGCTGAGGCAGGAGCATTGCTTGAACCCATGAGGTGGAGGTTGCAGTGAGCCGAGATCACGCCACTGCACTCAAGCCTGGGTGACAGAGCAAGACTCCATCTCTACTACAAAAAAAAAAAAAAAAAAAATTCAACCACCTTAGGAAGCCTCTCATTTATGTATTTCTAGCATGTAATTAGTGTTGCACATGGGAAGGGCTAATAGATGCTGACAGAGTGAACAACTTATCTATTTTGTGTGTGTGTGTGTAACAGGGTCTCATTCTGTTGCCCAGGCTGGAATACAGTGGCATGATCACAGCTCACTGCAAACTTCAACTGCCAGGCTCAGGCAACCCTCCCACCTCAGCCTCTTGAATAGCTGGGACTGCAGGCTCATACCACCACAACCAGCTAACTTGTATTTTTAGTAGAGACAAGGTTTCGCCATGTTGCTCAGGCTAGTCTCGAACTCCTGGACTCAAGTGATCCACCTGTCTTGGCTGCCTACATTGCTGGGATTACAGGCATGAGCCACCATGCCCAGCCAAATTTTTTTTTTTTTTTAAGGGAAGGGATCTTGCTATGTTGCCCAGGCTGGTCTCAAACTCCTCAGCTCAAGCAATCTGCCCACCTCAGCCTCTGAAAGTGCTGGGATTACAGGCATGAGCCACCATGTCCAGCACACTTTAATATTCACTATGGGCCCTCAAAAGGAAATGTTTGTGGGGCCACCAAAAGCAAATGTCTCTTGAACCTAGTCACCTGGGGGGACAAGTGTGGGAAAGTGCACCTGTGTTCCCATGAGACCCACTCAAGAGGAGCAGAAATCCTGTTTTGCTATTTCCTTAATTGCTACTAGGGCTGGGATTTTTTCATGTTTATTGGCCCCTCTACATTTTTTTCTTTAAAAAAATTCACAAAGCATGTTTATATTTGTTAGCTCTTTTGATTCTCCCTATGATAGTGTGAAGACAGGGACAAAACGCTACCATTTCACACTCCCAGATCTAACAATAGCTACCAAGTAATTATGCCATGCGTTTCTTCTAACCTTCGCAATATCACTACGAGGTAGTTCTTACTATCCTCATTTTACAGATAAGGAAACTGAGGCTAAGTGACGCTGGCAGACTTGCCCAAGGCCACACAGCTGGTAACAGGGACTGGTAGTCACTTGAGTCCTACATGAGCACCCTTGCTACTACAGCAGCTCCTCCCCTTTCTAGAGGCCTAGATGGAAAGATGCTGGTGTCAGCGGGGGGCACAAAGGTCCACCCAGTCCCACACATGCAGAGAGGCATCATTTGTTGCTGATAACAAAGTCCTTGGTCTGCAGGGATGCCAGGTGTGGGTGGTGACCAAAGGAGCAGGGTCCATCCCATTTCCATCTAGGAAGATGTGACCTCTGTGAGTGAAGAGAGGTTCTACTTGGCTCCGTGTTCCATCTTGGCTCCGTGTTCCATCCCAAGATGTGGCATCATAGACCTGGACTGTACCATCAAAACCTGAGAATACAGAAAAGAGAGGCTTGACAATGAGTCCCTAATTTTATTTTAAAATAATTTTCTTTCTATTTTTAATAGAGATGGGGTTTCACCATGTTGACCAGGATGGTCTTGAACTCCTAGCCTCAAGCGATCCTCCCATCTCAGCCTCCCAAAATGCTGGGATTACAGGCACCCAGCCCCTAAAATACTTTTTATAATTTGTTCTATGGTACCAAAACAGGCTATTGGATGAGGAATCAAGGCACTTAAAAGGCTAACCACGGGCAAGTAGCATCTGCCCTCAGTGTTGGCAGCTGATGACTCCGTGGGGCATGTAACCATGAGCATCCGTTGTGCACCTGTTATGCGTGAGGCTCGAAGGCTAATTCTGGACAAGTATTAGCTCTTTTAATCCTCAGAACTGTATGACACAGATACTGTTATTTTACCCAGGAAACTGAGGCTTAAGAGACTTCTTCAAACCTTTTCAAGTTGCCCCAGAGTCCAGTCCCCTACCTCTGGGTCCCTTTCAGCAGATGGCCTTGTCTCCTACTCGATGGGGGAAACAGAAGCCTTTGGAGAGAAATACCTTCACGTCCCTGCACGATCTAGCTGCACACACACTCATTCCATCCTGCCATCTTCCTGGTACTGAAGAGCCAGCCCCTCTACCTGAGCTTGGCTCTTCTGTTCTTTCTGGATCCTGGCATTTCCAATCATCCTTTCTTGCTCTCTTAATGATTTTTTTCAACCCCCACCTGCCTCGACGGATCCTTCCTGTTGGCTTTTAGATACCCACATTAAGTGCCGCAAGCAACTAGCTACCACCAGACCAGAACCAGGGGCCTGCTGACCTAGCTGGCTTGCTACTTTTTTTTTTTTTTTTTTTTTTGAGACAGAGTCTTGCTCTGTCGCCAGTCTGGAGTGCAGTGGCGTCATCTCAGCTCACTGCAACCTCTGACTCCCGGGTTCAAGCGATTCCCCTGCCTCAGCCTCCCAAGTAGGTGGGACTACAGGCGTGCACCAAAACACCCGGCTAATTTTTTTTATTTTCATAGAGACGGGGTTTCACCATGTTGGCCACGATGGTCTCGATCTCCTGACCTTGTGATCCACCCGCCTCGACCTCCCAAAGTGCTGGGATTATAGGTGTGAGCCACCGCACCCGGCCAACTTGCTACATTTCAAAAGGCAAGTAGGCTGAGAAGTACCCTTGAGGTGCTGTCCCTGCTGCTTTTTTTTTTTTTTTCTTTTTTTTTCTTTTTGAGACAGTCTCGCTCTGTTGCCCAGGCTGGAGTGCAGTGGTGCAATCTCAGCTCACTGCAAGCTCCGCCTCCCAGGTTCACGCCATTCTTCTGCCTCAGCCTCCTAAGTAGCTGGGACTACAGGCGCCTGCCACCATGCCTGGCTAATTTTTTGTATTTTTAGTAGGGACGGGGTTTCACCGTGTTAGCCACTGTCCCCTTTTCTTTCTGACCCAGCCCGATGTCTGTCCCAGTGTCTTACTGTCTGCAGGCCCCTCCACCAACCTGAGACCTGAATTCCTGCTAGGCTAGGAAAGGCCTGCTGCCAATGTGTGGAAGTTTAGTAGCCAGGGTAGGAAAAGGCCTGCCACTGAAGAACCTGGAGAGTTCGAATTTCTCTGTGAGCAACTTTAACTCCTGGAGCCAGGTTTATCATGGTGCTGGAGGCTCCTTCCTGAGCACCCAACAGTCTCCTGGAAGAAAGAGATCAGATAACAAGACGAAATCCTGCTCGGCAGTACCTGAGATGGCCAAGCAATTCTTCAGGCCTGGGGCCCAAGTCACTCGCAGCAGCTCTGGGTCAGGGCTAGGTACGGATACTGGGCACTGGACTGAGCTCACAGGATGGCAGAGATCCCGGGGGTCAAGAAGACAAAGACGCCCATCTGAGCCAAGGCTGGCAATGCTGGGCCCAGGGCCCTGGCCCCAGCTCCCAACTTCAGCACACCATCTCTCTCCACCAGACCCAGGGCCAGGGCTGCGATTCTCCAACGGTGCCCACTTCTGCCGGGTGTCAACAAGCCCCAGCCGGCCTGAAGCACAGCAGAAGGCAAAGGTGTCTGCATCTAGGACCTGCAGGCTACTCAGCTCCTCACTGTCACTGACATCTGGAAGACCGACAGCAAAGGAGACAAGCGGCTGGAGGCAGATGGGTCTGGCAATTTGGCAGGGCTGGCTGGTCACAGGTCCCTTCCCACCAGTCCCAGGCAGAATAAATCACATCTCCCTTCCCACTCATCTCACCATTGTCTGCTCAGCTGGTTGGGTGCTGGTCCCTGGGACTGCCTAATCCTGCCCCAGCATAGGAGCCCTTAGAGGCCAGGGCTTACCTCTTATTCACTGTGTATCCCCAACACCTGGCACAGAGAGTTGAACTCAGTTTTTATAGTGGCTGAGTTGGGCTGGGGGGTGATGCCGGCTGGAGCAGCAAGCAAGGGACAAAGTACCACGGTACCTGAGGTGTACGTGGTCTTCCGGGACTCCAGATCAACGACCTGCAGACTTCGGAGCCTCGCCCCATGGAGGACTCCGGGTGCCAATGTGGAGAAGACGGCCACCCTAGGCCAGAGACTCTCCTCTTTCTCATGCACAGCAATGGTGCTGACAGCTTTAATGACATCTAGGGGAAAACGAAGAGGCCAAAATCCAGAACTTTAATGAAGGTTTGAAACATGACAGGCTGCCAGCTGTCTTCCCCTGTACATTTAGAAGATCAAGGAAGAAAAGGAGCTGCCGGCTGGCAAGAGATGATGTTGAGACATAACTACTCTGGCTTATGTTTACATTTTTGAAACCATCAGAAACATTTCAATTTCTTTATTATTTGTCTTATAAACTGTTTTTTGCAAATGGAAGACAATGCCATCTCAAAACCCAAAAAGCAATTCTGGCTTTTTATACTTTTGTGGAGAACAGGTAGAAGACAAGAAAAGGAATGAACATGCTGCTGATGTCACTTACCCCTTCAGCGACAAGAAACAGGTACAGAATTCATGAACTGATATTATTTCTTCAAAAACATGTTCCATGACCTCGAGTGACTTGCTAAAGCCTAGCAAGTACAGGTCACATTACAGATGTCATTGTCTTGTAAGGTGGACAAGAAAGTCCACATCTTTTTTACACTGAATGGAACATCCTTGGCTTTGAGTCAAGTTTTGTTTTGGTTCTTTTGTTTTTTTGAGACAGAGTCTCACTCTGTTGCCCAGGCTGGAGTCCAGTGGCACAATCTCAGCTCACTGCAGCCTCCGCCTCTCAGGTTCAAGAAATTCTTCTGCCTCAGCCTCCTGAGTAGCTGGAATTACAGATGTGCACCCTCATGCCCAGCTAATTTTTTTGTATTTTTAGTAGAGACGGGGTTTCGCCATGTTGCTCGGGCTGGGCTCAAACTCCTGGTCAGGTGACCCACCTACCTTGGCCTCCCAAAGTGCTGGGATTACAGGCATGAGCCACTGCGCCCAGCCAAGTTTTAGTTTTTATTTGGTTGTCTCCACCTGCTTGGTTAGCAGGGAGGTTCTCCTCTCTGTATTCTACATCTGAGGCTTCTCTTAATATATGCTTAATGCTGCCAAAGAGGTGAGCTCACCTGAGCAGCCTAAGCTCTGCTGTTGCCACTGCCCCTGCCTAGGGAGAGTAGTTCTCTGGATGAACTCAATTCCAGGAGCAGGTTACAGGAAGCTCCATTTGGGGCTTGGATGCCATGCTATGGTTGCTAATTCACCTTGTCTGCATTAAAGTAGATTAATTCCCACCTGGCTCTGAGTCTACTACTACTTTTTTTTTTGGAGACGGAGTTTTGCTCTTGTTGCCCAGGCTGGAGTGCAGTGGCATGATCTCGGCTCACTGTAACCTCCGCCTCCCAGGTTCAAGCAATTCTCCTGCCTCAGTCTCCCCAGTAGCAGGGATTACAGGTGCCTACCACCATGCCCGGCTAATTTTTTGTATTTTTAATAGAGACAGGTTTCACCATGTTGTACAAGGTGGTCTTCAACTCCTGAATTCAAGTGATCCACCCAGCTCAGCCTCCCAAAGTGCTACAATTACAGGCATGAGACTGTCCCCAGCCTGAGTCTCCTTCTTAACTGGCTCAGATTAGGGGACAGGGGTGTATGAGTCACACTTTCCTAGAACCCCAAACCCCATCAAGTCAAATTCACTCACCACTGTCCTCTGCAACCTGCCACACCTGCAGATAACAACCTGGAAGGCCACTGGTAACCAGCAATCTATTCAGAAAAGACAAAATCAGTCCAGACCATGGGGAGCTTATCCACACAGGTCCCTTCCCCTTTCCAGCACACTTAGCTTGGGACTCCACTTCCCATATCAGGACATCTTACTGCAAGATCATCAAGGCCAACCACCCTCATTTCACAGATAAGGAGCAGGCTCAATCAACTTTAGGGAGACTGAGCCCAAGCTTCCATGTGTCATGATGGTCACCTACAGAGGACACAAGTATGGGGCCAAACACAACCTGACCCAGAGACTCTTGGCCTCTCCCAACTGAGCAATTATCACCCAAGAGCAATAGAAGAGCATCTTTCTGTCCCGTATCTATTCCCTGGAGCAACTCCGGTAGAACTGTTACTTACATTAGTCCAAGGGCTCTGGGGGGCTATGAAGCCACAGCAGTGGTTTCTTTGTATTCTAAATCTGTGTGTATCTGTGTGCACACACTTGTGCACTCACATGTGCCTGTGTGCTGAGGGGGTGGGAATGGAGATGAGGAGGCAGAATACCCCCAGGCATTTGCAGCCATCCCATCCCATCCTGTGTGGATGGCTGGATCACAAAATTGACCATACCTGGTATGTGGCACATGCTTTAGATCAAAGATAGACCTGTCTGAAAATCCTCCATGGCGCACTTTGAAATCTCTTTCTGGGAATAAGCCCTAAAATACAAAGGAGTAGCCAATCAGAGCCAGCTCTTCAAATGAACATTTCAGAGGAACTCTAAGTGAGGAGTCAGGTCCTAGCCTGGCAGGAGGCCATGGAAGCCACTCAGCTGGTGAAAGGGCGTTGGTGTCCTGGTATTTGGCAATGTTGGTCTCAGCTGCCTACACGTACAGCTTCCTTTTTCCTTTGCACATCCAAAACCCTTCTCCTAGCCTTTCACTAGCCCCTTTTACTACAGCACAAGCATTATACTCCAGGCCTTCCTAGAGAAGCCAGAGAAGCTTAACAGCTTCATCAAAGAGAGCAATGAACACATCCCCATTTCTCCCTCCATTCTCCCGCTGGAAGTCAGGTGGGTTCCTCTAACGATAAAAATTAACAATTACAACTTATCAGTATTCACTGTGTCAGGCGCAGTGTTTAGGGCTTTATCACATTTAATTCTTACAACCTCCTATGATATAGGTACTATAATTATCCCTATTCTACAAATGACACAACTAAGGCACAAGGAGCTTCAGCCACTTATATAAGGTCATACAAGTATTAAGTTGTGAATTTGAACCAAAGTCTGTCTAACCCAAGTCCACACTGTTAGCCACTAGGCTCTACTATCTCCATGTAAGGAACCAGAGGCAAGGGAAAAGGAGGTGGCCATAGAAGAAACAAGGCAAAGCTGGTGGTGAGCGGGGAGGTTAAATCAGTTCTCACAGCTAGGCTCAGTCTGGGTGAACCCCTGACTCAAGCCTGACTGGAGATGGGGAAGATGAAGAACACTAGGTGCTACCCTATAGCTTCTGTAGCCTCTGGGTTTTATGAGTACAAATTTGGCTTTTTTTTTTTTTTTAACTTTTTTTTGAGACAGAGTCTCACTCTGTAGCCCAGGCTGGAGGGCAGTGGCGTGATCTTGGCTCACTGCAACCTCTGTCTCCCCAGTTTAAGCTATTCTCCTGCCTCAGCCTCCTGAGTAGCTGGGACTACAGGTGTGCACCACCACACCCAGTTAATTTTTGTATTTTTAGTAGAGACAGGGTTTTGCCATGTTGCCCAGGCTGGTCTCGAACTCCCAACCTCAGGTGATCCGCCTGCCTCAGCCTCCCAAAGTGCTGGGATTACAGACATAAGCCACCACACCTGGTCTTTTTTAACTTTTTAAATTTTGTGAAGAGATGGGCTTGCCATGTTGTCCAGGCTGGACTTGAACTCCTAGGCTCAAGCAGTCCACCGCCTCAGCTTCAAAAAGTGCTGGGATTACAGGTGTGAGTCACCATGTCAGTCTACAAACTTGGCATTTTTCCTAAGCTTTCCCTCTTGAGATTATAATTCAGTATGTTTGGGAAGTATGCTAGGAATATGCATTTTAGCCAGCACTCCTAATGGCCCTGGTAGGGTGGTCCTCAGGCTACTTTGATAAAAACTGGGCCACATCTGCATGGGATCTAGCCTCTCCCAGGCTGAACAATGTTTTTCTATGTCCTTGTCTAGCCTCTTAGCCTCTTCTCTTCTAAACAATTAGACTCAACTCCATAACATGGTGAGGCCCTAAGATAAATTTATTTACTTATTTTTGTGAGACGGAGTGTCATGCTGTTACCTAGGCTGGAAGTGCAGTGGTGCCATCTCAGGTCACTGCAACCTCTGCCTCCTGGGTTTAAGGGATTCTCTGGTGCCTCAGCCTCCCCTGAGTAGCTGGGATTAAAGGCATATACCACCACACCCGGCTAATTTTCTTTTTCTTTTTCTTTTTTTTGAGACGGAGTCTCACTCTGTCACCCAGGCTGGATGCAGTGGCTTGATGTTGGCTCACTGCAAGCTCCACCTCCCAGGTTCAAGCAATTCTTCTGCCTCAGCCTCCTGAGTAGCTGGTACTACAGGCGCATGCCACCACACCCGGCTAATTTTTGTATTATTAGTAGAGATGGGGTTTCACCATATTGGCCAGACTGGTCTCGAACTCCTGACCTTGTGATCCGCCCACCTCAGCCTCCCAAAGTGCTGGGATTACAGGTGTGAGCCACGCGCCTGGCCAAATTTGTTTTATTTTTAGTAGAGATGGGGTTTCACCATGTTGGCCAGGCTGGTCTTGAACTTCTGGCCTCTAGTGATCTGCCCACGTTGGTCTCCCGCTCCCAAGGTGCTGGGATTACAGGCATGAGTCACCGCACTCGGATTGTTTCCTATTTCATTAAATAATTTAAAACAAAACAAAATAAAAAAGGCCAAGTGCGGTGGTTCACACCTGGAATCCCAGCACTTTGGGAGGCAGGAGGATTGCTTGAGCTCAGGAGTTTGAGAACAGCTTGGCAAGACCCCGTCCCTACCAAAAAATACAAAAATTAACCAGGTGTGGTGGCACATGCCTGTGGTCCCAACTACTCGGGATGCTGAAGTGGGAGGATGGCTTGAGCCCAGGAGGCAGAGGTTGCAGTGAGCTGAGATCGCGCCACTGCACTCCAGCCTAGGTGACAGAGTGAGACCTCAAAAAAAAAAAAAAATTTTTTTAAGAAGTTTGGGGCCAGGAGTGATGGCTCATGCCAGTAATCCCAGCACTTTGGGAGGCCGAAGCAGGCGGATCACTTGAAGCCAAGCGTTCGAGACCAGCCTGGCCAACACAGTGAAACCTCATCTCTACAAAAAAATTTAACAATTAGCCAAGCATGGTGGCACATGCCTGTAGTCCCAGCTACTTGGGAGGCTGAGGCGGGAGGATCACTTGAGCCTGGGAGGTTTAGACTGTAGTGAGCCAGGGATCGCGCCACTGCACTCCAGCCTGGGTGACAGAGCAAGCCCTTGTCTCAAAACAAAAAGGAATTCAGGAGCAAACACTCAAATTCCTGCCCCCACATGGCCCTTCAAGGTCATCTGCCTGCATGCCTCACTCCTCCCTTGTCCTCTGATGACTAATACCATCCCCTGGACTCCTGATCTATCCTCACCTTCTATTCCTGGAAGCAGGAGCGTGTTCCCTGTGATATTCCCTCATTTTCACCCTCTCCCTCTTCAAGGGTTACTTTCCCATAGCTTCTAACTCTGCTCAAGCCTCTGTGTTTAGGAAACCTTCCCTCAGATCTGTGTTTCCGACTAGTTGCTGCTTTAGCTTCTTCCCTCCCTACATTTCGTGACTCTGCTTCCTCTTCATTTTTAGTCTTTGGGCCTGACCACCACCAGCAAAAATCCTGTAGCAGAGGTCACCAAGAGTTTCCCAATTGCCAGTCTTATGAATGAACTCAATTCCTCATCTGAATGATTTTTTTTTTTGAGATGCAGTCTTGCTGTTGCCCAGGCTGGAGTGCAGTGGCACGATCTCAGCTCACTACAACCTCCGCCTCCCGGGTTCAAGCAATTCTCCTGCCTCAGCCTCCTGAGTAGCTGGGATTACAGGTGTGCGCCACCATGCCTGGCTAATTTTTGTATTTTTAGTAGAGACGGGGTTTCACCATGTTGGTCAGGATGGTCCCGAACTCCTGACCTCATGATCCGCCCAACTCGGCCTCCCAAAGTGCTGGGATTACAGGCGTAAGCCACTGCACCTGGCCTTCAATTCTTCTCTCAATGATTTTATTGGAACTCTAGACAGCTACTAACTCTTTTTTTCTTGAGAAGTTCTCTTCTCTTGGCTTCAGAAACATTGACCTTTTCTGAGATTCCTCTTACCTCAGAGGCTGTTCTTTCTTAGTATTCTTTGGGGAGGGGGGGTGCATCTTCCTGTACTCATCCCTTAAATGTGTTCCCTGAGGTTCCGTCCTCACTATATTCTCCTCACTCCTTATATACCACACATTCACTAGGTGACTTTAATCACTCTACGCATTTCGACCGCCCTCTATATCCTTAATCGCTCCCTAAATCTATTTCTGATAAAGTATAACTGACCTCCTCCTCTGATAGCCCTCTGTAAACCACGAGACATTCTACAGCATTTATCTCTGTGCATATGTGCCTCCCTCTGTTAGACTAGAAGGGCAGGCCTAGCGCTTTCTCTCTTTCTAGTATCCAGGACAATACCTGGTAGATAACAGGAGCTCCACAAATGTTTAATAAATAAATAAAAGTTGACATACTCAGCATTTATATTTTAAGTTACCTTGTTTTCCTTTACAGAAAGTCTGAGAGGTAATTTCAGATGAAGAATTTCATTCTTTTTCAGGCTTTCATAGCCAGCAACAAAGACTCCTGGAAAAAGAAGCAGAGGTAGCTGTCACAAATTGTTAGAAAGATTGCAGACCATGCAATCCCCCGAAGTAAGGATACATTCCTTCACTGTGCAGCCTTGTATGGAGGAATTGAGTACCTGGTTGTGTCTTTTTCAGACAAGGTCTCGCTGTGTCAGCCAGGCTGGAGTGCAGTGGTCCGATCACAGCTCACTGCAGCCTCAACCTGCCAGGCTCAAGTGATCCTCCCACCACAGCCTTCAGAGTAGCTGGGATTATAGGCGTGAGCCACCATGCTCGGCTAATTTTTGTATTTTTTGTAGAGACAGGGTTTCCTTGCTTAGGTTAGTCTCAAATTCCTGGGATCAAGCAATCTGCCCGCTGCCTCAGCCTCCTGAAGTGCCCAGCCTGAAGACTTTTTTTGTTAGCCACGCTGGAATACAGTGTCGTGATCTCAGCTCACTGCAACCTCCACCTCCTGGGTTCAAGTGATTCTCCTGCCTCAGCCTCCCCAGTAGCTGCTGGTACACAGGTGTGCACCACCTCGTCCGGCTAATTTTTGTATTTTCAGTAGAGACGGGGTTTCACCATGTTGGCCAGACTGGTCTCGAACTCCTGACCTCAGGTGATCCGCCTGCCTCGGCCTCCCAAAGTGCTGGGATTACAGGCGTGAACCACTGCTCCCGGTCAGAGATCTTAATAAGAGGAATATTAGTGCTGATGGGGCATCAAATTGCTACAAGTGACTCTCAGGTGCCCAGAAGAGTGGGTTGGGTCCCTCTAGGCTTAGCTCCTGAAACCCAGCTCAGGAGTGAGATTCCCTCTCCTTCAGGGCTAGAAAGGTATACCACCTTTGTCATCAATCCATTCAAGGACTCGAGTGGCTCCTGACAGGTCGAATGCATAGAAATCCTGGTACCTGCACAAAAGGGACACAGAATCACACGATGCACAGCACTTCACAGCTCAAAGAACTCCAAGATGGCAGCCGCATGGTTCAGTGGCCCAAACTCTGGAGTCAGGCAGACGTGGGACTGAGTTTACTTCCCATTTTACTCCCTGTTTCTGGGACCAGGCCAGTCCCTTGATGTCCCTGAGCCTCGGTCCTCATGTGTGGACGTCCCAGGGTACCCAGATTTCCCAAGGTTGACGTGAGGAATCAATGAGATCATCTGTGTTCTGAGCTGAACTCAGAGGCTGGCGCAAACTAACTGGGCACTGCGTCTTCACAAGCGCGGCTCTTACTAGTAATCTCACAACGCGCGCACGCAGGAAGGAGCCATTTCCTAGAGATGGGGGCCTAGGCCCAGGCGGAGTCCTCCACGGTGGCGAGCCCCGAGGCCACAGCTGGCCCACTCTGCACCAGGATCCCCAACGTGCCTCCACCCACACCCATCCGCCCGCCAGGCAAGCTCCAGGCCCAGCTCCCATGTCCCAGCCCCGTACGATTTACAAGCGCAAGGATTCCACCAGCCAGTCGTCCCCAGGATCCATGGCAACGACCGCTTCCGGCGTCTCACTTCCGCCTGCGAGCCTTCGGGGGCCGCGCGGCTCTCGCGAGATGTGGGCAGGGCCTCCCGTTAGGGGCGGGGTTAACAGGCTGAGCTGCGGCCCGGCATGGGTGGGTTACGGGTTTTCTCCGCGAAAGCTCCGGGAAAAGTGACCTGAAATCGGGACTTTCCCGCTGTCAGCTCCAAGCAGGACCTGAGGACCAAATGATCGCCCGTTTTAGGGCCAGGTGTTTGCAGCCCAAGAGAGGGGCAATGAATGCTCCAAGGCCAGAAATAATACAGGACCGCCCGGTTAAATTCGAATTTCAGAAAAACGGTGAATAATTTCTTTCTTACGAGTATGTTCATGCAATATTTGGTACATTTTATTAGATAAAATTATTGTTTATCTGAAATTCGAATTTAACTGGGTGTCCAGTATTTTTATTTGCTAACGCTGGCAACCCTTCTGACGGCCAGAGAAGAGAGGAAGCGGCCGGCAGGGTCTGGATCCCAACTCGGCGCTCCCCTCCAAGTCCGGCGGGGGTATTGAGTAAAGCCCGGCAGTGTAGTGTCTGCAGCCCCCTTTTACTAGCGAGGAAACTAGTGACACTTGCCTGCGCCAGTAGGTGGCAGAGATGAGAGTAGAACCCCGCGCCTGGCACGAAGCCTGGCATGCAACAGGCGTTATTTGCTTGCTGAATGAATGGGTAGGAGGCCAGAGTCAGTGCCAGGCTGGTGCCATGGCATGGGGTATTCTGGACTTTTTGAGCCAGCCCCATCTCACTGAACACTCTGCCCTCCAGCCCCCTTTTCCTCCCATCCCCTAAAAGACGGGTGAAAGGAGAGGACCAGGCATTGTATGTAAAGAGCAAGGTTTTATTCACCAATTCAACAGGGAAGCAGGAAATACAGCAGGAACATAATCTGTGTCTGCATCAGCGATATTTCTGGTGACCCAGCCAGAAATCACAGTAATGGAGTAACAGAGATTTGAGCTCAGGATTTACATCCAGATGGGGCCATCAACAGGGTCCCATTCAGCACCTTCCCTGGGTGGGCACAATCTAAGCCACGCTGTTGTGTCTGCCCCATTATTGGTGTCATTTCTGCAGTATTTGTACCAGCAGCCTCCTGTACTGAAGAGAAACATACAGAAGAATTGAGCCAGGGAGGGGCTCCTGATAAAGATAGGGGCATCCTGCCATTCCTAAGTGCCAGATGTCTGCAGAGGTGGGCACCAGCAGGCTGTCAGCTGAGGCAGGCCCCAGAGCACCCTGAATTGCCTTGGAGGGGTCGGGGCAGTAGTTTTCTCAGAACACAGCCCCAACCACCCAGGGTGGTCATGACAGTCAAAGAAGATCGTGGAAGAAAATCCAAATACAGTGCTTGGTGCTGGGCTAGTGTCAGCGTCCTCACTCCCCCACCCCAGCTCTGCCCCAGACCTCACTCTGAAGCCCCAGACGTAGGCACTGCTGCTTCTGAGATTCTCTAGTTGGTCTGCATGTGTCAGAGCTTCAAAACCAAGGGCATTAGAGGTGACATTGTTTCCCTTCAGACTCAGCCAGCCCAAGCTCCTAGGCCTTACATCTGAGGTCCTCAGGGGCTGCTGGTTCTGTGCCTCAGGAAGTCAGGGATGTTGGTTGAGGCTGGGTTGGACCTTTTCTAGGGAATGCCTCTCCCTTCAAAATGCACACACTATATGCTAGGCACACTGGGGGATATGAAGGCGAGTCTACAACAGGTGCCGCCAGGGAGCTCACAGACTGATAAGAGCTCGCATCTACTAAGGGCTGTCTATGAGCCAGGCACCATGCTGAGCATTTGACATAAATGGTCTCATTTAATGGGAGATGGGCCTTATTATCTTCATTTTATGGGTGAAGAATATTGAGGCTTTAGAGAAGTTAAGGGACATTTCTAAGGTCATACAGCTACTAAGTAGCTAGGTTATGAGCCCAGCACGTTGTAGTCAAAACCCACATTCTACCACATCACACTGCCTTCTGCACACAGCAGCAGGACCAGGGAGGGTGGTGTGCAGTAAGGACAGCACCAGGAGCAGGGAATGAAGGAGTTGCCACTCAGCGGGGCTATACCTTGAGGCTAGCTTGGCTCCAGCTTTGGAGTCTTGAATCCCATAGATCAGTGACTGACAACCAATAATGATTTGGGGCCCTCTCCCCCAGCAGACATCTGGTGATGTCTGGAGGTCTTTTCAGTTGTCACAACTTGATGGGGGGGAAAGATGCTACTGGCATCTAGTATGTAGAGACCAGGGATGCTGCCAAACATCCCATGATGCACACGTCAGCCCTCACAAGAAACAGTGATTCAGCCTAGAACGTCAAATGTACTGAAGTTGCTAAACCCTACCACTGGATACTGAGGCAGATGAGAGAATGGGAAGAGCTCCAGTCCAGGTGAACAAGGTCCAGACTCTGTCTTGGCTGCTGACTTCTCTTTCCCTCTCTGGGCCTCAGGGTCCCATTCCGGCCACAAGCATACACAGGACACAGCAAAGGTGGACTTGACTAATGCAGCAGGGAACAGCATGGGTGGGACAAGACTGTGTAGACTGGGGGAGAAAGGTCCTGCTCCAAAAGGCTGATGATCCCAGTCTGTTACTTTAGACTGGGTGATGAGTCAGGGGAACTTCTTTCCCTACTTCTTGCCCCATGGGGTCTACTGGGAAGGTCAGCTTCCTTTCTTTGGACTGTTCCTCCTTTGAGCTCTGCCTCAAGAGGGAAAAGCCTGGAAACCTGGCTTTCTGGGGTCCACACCCATAATGTCCTAGTCAGACAGTCACACCCTAATACAGTACTGGGTGGTAATTCCTCCCATGCAGGATCCGGGGATGGCCCCAGCTGGGCCCTCCTGACATTGGAGCAGGGGCCCGGCTCACCTGGATTTGGGGTGCGGGGCGGCTGAGGCTCACGCCCAGAGCCTTCTTTAGCAGGAGGATTCCGAGCAGATCATGACTCAGCTGCAGTCGCTGGTCCCTCAGGGAGGTGTGGGGAGCTGTCCCCAATGGGGATGGGCTGGAAGGCTCCAGACTCTTCTTGCCCATGAAGTGACCTGGAAAGGAGGTGTCCAGGCACAAGGAAGTCAAGCAGCCAGGATCCTACCTCAGAGGAAAAGTTCCTCATCTCTCCCACGTTTCCGTTCTTGTAGCGGGAAGACACTTAACCTTCCTCCTCTTGGTGCTTCCACCTCACCAAGGAGCCACAAAGGTGTCTGGGTGGTGGCAAAGCCTGCTCCCTCAGCTTTTCCTGAACAGGTAGAGAGGATGGCACAGCTGGCAGGAAGGTGGGATGGTCCAGGGCCAGGGAGAAACTCTGCTAGTTGTGTGGGCTGCTTGGACAAGGGACGAAAAAGGGCAGGGTAGGAAGTGGAGAGTGAAGAGGCGCCTGGAAAGTGGAGGTGCAGCAAAAACACACCAGCGGTTAGAAGATTCGGTTAAGTCTCGCCTAAGGTAAGGGGCACCGGCTGGCAGTGGGATTTAGGATCTAGCCCAGCCCTGTCTTAAACTGGCTGCGCGACCTTAGCCAAGTCACTGACCTGTCCGGGTCTCAAGTACATATCTATTAAATTAGATGAGCCCCAGGGTTTTCCACCTGCTCCGACACTAGTGTCCGTGGCTGAGGAGCGGCCAGAGGGTTGAGAAGGAAATGGGGTCTGAACTGGATGAGGGGCGCTTGCTTGCTCCGTCCCCAAAGACTTACCGGTGGCCCAGAGGTTGCCTCGCGAGTGCACTCGGATCTTGCTGGCTCGGCTGCGGGGCTCCGGGAGATCCCAGCTGAGCGGGGCGACGCCGGCAGCGAGCAGGGCGAAGAGCAGGAGGCTGCCGAACATCCGAGCGCCCCCCGCCCGCCGGGCCATGGCTGTGCCCGGGCCGCGGCTTCGTTCGGGCGCGCTTCCCGGCCGCTGGGCTCCGGGGCTGCCTTCGATCCTTTTAAATCCGCGCCCCTGGGGGCGGAGCCTGCCCTGAGCAGCGGAGCCGTGCCCCGCGCCCGCCGCCCTCCCCGCCGTCCCCACCCTCCCGCTAGGTTACCAGGCAGGGGCACCCCCTTTGGGCCGCCCAGAGACCTGCACACCCACACTCTGGCCCGCACGCGGGCACCGCTTCCGCCAGGGGCTTCTGGCGGAAGCCCGCCACCTTCAGGCTAAGGACCGGGCACCGGCCAAACAGGGGCCCGGCCCCGGCGGCGGAGCCGCTTCCCCTGGCCCTGCCTTGCCACTCTGCCACGGCTTTCGGCCAAATAGGCACTTCAGCCCTCTGAGCCTCTCTTCATGAGGGTAGAGGTCGGGCGAGGAGCTCTCCTCCCGGGTAACAGGCTTTTTTTTTTTTTTTTTTTTTTTTTTCTGAGACAGGATCTGGCAGTATCGCGCAGGTTGGAGTGCGGTGGCGCGATCACGGCTCACTGCAAACTCAACCTCCAGGGCTGGGCTCAAGCCTCAGCCTCCCCAGAAGCTGGGACCACAGGCACACGCCTTCATGCCTGGCTTTTTTTTTTTTTCTTTCCAAGAGACTGGATGTCGCTAGGTTTCCCAGGCTAACAGAGGCATTTTTACAGTGTCCAGCCAAGTGCTAGGCACCAAAGGACTTCCATAAACTAATCCCCATCACCTCCGCCCTTTGGGGGAATCTGACCCGTGTTCACCTTGCTCTCTGCCCTCTCACAGCCAGCATCACAGTCTGGAAATGTTCTGGCACACAGTAGGTGCTCAGAATGGGAATGCAGAATGATGGAGGGTGGGACAAAGGGCCGCTTCTGAGGAACGGGCATCCAGCTGGAGGGCCTGGCTTATGGGCAGGAAGCAGACCTCTGGGTCAAGAAAGTGGAAAGAGCACTGCACCCAGGACTGCACTGCACCCAGGAGTCCATGTACAAGCTGTGACCCGGCTGAACCTCACTTTCTTCAACTGTAAAATGGTAATAACCACACTGCCCTAATTTTAATACTTTTACATGTTTTAGCATAAGTACTCTGTGGCCGGAAGCAACAATTCTGTAGGACCTGCCCTCTCACACCTGGCACTTTGTTCTCCCCAGGAGCTGTCTGGACTTTCTTGGAAAGAACTTCTGGATAAGTGGTATCATATAATGAGCAGAGGAAAACACTGTGCTCCAGAAGAATACATTTATGTTTGCTTAATTAACTGAAACCCATTGTTCAGAGCACTACACTAGACACAAGAAGAGGGGCGACAGATAATTCCTTGCTCCCAAGGGAGTTAACCATCTCATTGGAGAGACAAGTACACAAAGGAGAGAGTGATGGAGGAGCGGGGGTGCAGACCACCCCTTGGACTCTGGATACCTCTGGAACACGGAACAGAGTGGCCGTACCAGAACCTACTCCCATCTGGCTTGATAATGGGACCTGCTTCTAGGACTCTTGCTTAGTATCTAGCTCAGCAAGGTTGCTAGCTCTGTGGATCCTCATCCTAGAAGGGGAAGCTCACATGAAAAACTGGCTGTCATACCCAGCTGGAGGCCCAGCTTCCAGGAGCATGACACACAGGACAGGGACGTTTCATTTCTGGCCCTGGCTTTCCCCCCAATCTCCTTGCTTCTCACCTCCCACCCTGGCATTTACACCTCTCTGCTTTCTTGTCACAGCTTAGCCATGGTGTACAGATATAGCTCTTATCACCTTCCGGTAATCATTCCTTTGTGACCCCCCTCCCTCTCCTCTGCATCCATCAAACCCCCATCCTATCTTCTCTAGTCCATGGATAATAGAAATTAGCGTGAACACACAGAAGCTGGTATTGATTGAGTGCTGCATCACTTAAATGCTTGAAGGAATCTTATTTGGTAGGTTTCTGTCTCCTCATTTTTATAGGTGGGAACAGGCTAAGAGGTTTAGCCACTTTCCCAGAAGTCCCACTGGAATCAGATTTCAGGTCTGTCTGGACCACTGCATCAGGCCCCCAAATCTATGCAGGGCAGATACAACTCTCCCTAAACCACACCCACTCCCATTGTACCATCTCAAATTTCAACACCAAGTTGTGTTTATGTATCTCAGGAGGGAGAGGGAGTGGGCACTGCATTTCGAGTTTCACCTCTCTTCCACAGGTGACTGGACCTTGAGTTCTGCTAAGGTTATTTATACTTAAGCCAAGCTTCCTCTGACACAGCCTGGGTTCACAGCTGCAGCCACAGCTCTGAGGCTGGCCCCAGGCACCCTTGGAACCATTTGCTCTGTCAGCCTACTATAGAAAAAAAAGGGGGGGGGCCTCTGAGGACCCTGGAGAAAACAGCAGGGGAGCACCTCCACAGACTTAGGAGCACTCACCTTAGGGAAAAAAATGGGAGGCACAGGGGAGAAGGTGGCTTGCTCAAGGGAGTGCTAGGCTCTAAGTTTAGCATGAGGACCTCAAATGCCAACTGCCTGTTCCCTAAGTCCACTCTGGTGGCAAGAGAAGTCCAAAGGCCTCCACTCCATGGGGAAAGGCTAGCATTGAATTGAATGGAGGTACGTGGGGAAGCTCTTCAGAACCCACTCTCGACCCTCCTAGGATTCTACAACATTCAAGGACATGCACAGAAAATGTGAGGCAGGTTCACAAAACAACCCATGGGGTAACTAAAAGGGTGAAAGATACATGGCAAATCCTATCATAGCTAACACCAGGAAAATATTTAAAGTACACCAAGTTTTTTAATAAAAAAATTGCTTCATCAAAAATAGCGATTAAGAATGGATATTACAGCCGGGAGCCAGGGCTCGCACCTATAATCTTAGCACTTTGGGAGGCTGAGATGGGCGGATCACCTGAGGCAGGAGTTCGAGACCAACCTGGCCAACATGGTGAAACCTCATCTCTACTAAAAATACAAAAATTAACCGGGCGTGATGGCAACGCACCTGTAATCCCAGGTACTCAGGAGGCCGAGGAAGGAGAATCACTTGAACCTGGGAGGTCAGGGCGGCAGTGAGCCAAGATCGCACTACTGCACTCCAGCCTGGGCAACAAGTGCAAAACTCCGCCACAAAAAAAAAAAAAAAGAAAGAAAGAAAGAAAGAAAAAGAAAATAAATGACAGGAAACCTAGAGTTGTCACAACAGGATGTGTAAAACAGGGGTGTTCAATCTTTTGGCTTCCCTGGGCCACATTGGAAGAGGAATTGTCTTGGGCCACACATAAAATACACTAACATTAATGATAGCCGATGAGCTTAAAAAAAAAAAAAAGTCACACACAAAATAATCTCTTACTGCTTTAGGAAAGCTTACGAATGTGTGTTGGGCTACATCCAAAGCTACTGGGCCGTGGCCGGACGTGGTGGCTCACGCCTGTAATCTCAGCACTTTGGGAGGCTGAGGCGGATGGATCACGAGGTCAGGAGACCGAGACCATCCTGGCTAACATGGTGAAACCCCGTCTCTACTAAAAATACAAAAAATTAGCCGGGTGTGGTGGCGGGTGCCTGTAGTCCCAGCTACTCGGGAGGCTGAGGCAGGAGAATCTCTTGAACCCAGGAGGCGGAGATTGCAGTGAGCCGAGATCGTGCCATTGCACTCCAACCTGGGCAAAAAGAGAGAAACTCCGTCTCAAAAAAAAAAAAAAAAAAAAAAAAAAAAAAAAAAAAAAAAACCTACTGGGCCGCATGTGGCCCGAGGGCCGCGGGTTGGACAGGCTTGGTGTAAAATCTCTATTTTGGCAAATCTTTGAGCACAATCTCCAACTGTATGGGCTGGGGAGATGAAGAGAAACATCCTGGGATATCTCAGGCCCTACTCTTTACTTTCAGAGTGAAGAAGGGACCAGAGAACCAGGAAAACAGCAGAATCTTTAAGGGAAAATCAGGGATATTGGATACAATTTCTTAAACTCAGAGGGAACGCATAGGGATTACCTATAAAATCAGAACAGTAACCTCAAGAAGGAAATCTTTAGTAAATCAAAATTGCCAAAATACAAAAGTTTTTTTTTTTAATTTTTATTTATTTATTTTTTTTTGAGACAAGGTCTTGCTCTGTTGCCCAGGCTGGAGTGCAATGGCATGATTTCAGCTCACTGCAACCTCTACCTCTCAGGCTCAAGCAATTCTCCTGTCTCAGCTTCCACTGCGCCCGGCTAACAAAATGTTTTCTTAAAGGCAATATTTGAAAAAAAGAAAATACCTACACCTAATGAGAACGTGATCATGACTCCAATGGTGGCTAAAAAACAAAGGCTGCTGATCAGCTAACTGATGCAGTACTCAGGAAAGCTATGAAAACCTAAGGAAGTGAGAAGCCCCAGGCCCAGCATTCTTAATTATTTGGGAGTAATATTCACATATGTTAGGGGACATTTCTGTAACTGGAATGAATACTCTTTAATCTCCAAAGAGGTTTAAATGCTTGGAAATCTGCCACAGAATCTCACTATTTCTAAGAGACTAATAATCTGAGCAATTCTGCACAAGAAAAACCTAGAGCCTCTAAAGAAGAATTCCCAAGGGCTTTGCAATTGTGGAATTTATTGCAAATAAAATAATTTCAATAGACTTTACAAAGGTAAAAGGACTGGGTTATGACATCCAGCATTGTGACATGGTAAAAGCAACAGACTTGAAATCTGGCTCTGCCATGCATGGACCAGAAAACTCTGGACAAATCCCTGAACTTCTCCTGGTTTCTCTCTTTTATAAAATGAAGGTCATTTAGAAGGTTCATTAAATAGAGAAGGTAAAAGTTTGTTATAAACTATAAAGCACTTAGAAGAGCCCCTGGCATATTCTAAATACTCACTATTATTAGCTCGACCTGGGAAAAGCAAAGCCTGCTTTAAATATGAAGCCCATCTCAGAGGGGGAAAAAGTTCCCTGGATAACAGCCATGGTGTTGACACAACAGTGCCTGGCTCTGGCAAAAATGCCTATTACATCAAAAATTGATAAACTAAAATGTCAGCCCATCTACCTCAACTCTTGACCAATTCCAAGAAAAAGGATTCTACACAGCATTCTATTTTGGCTTAAATAAGTTGTCAGGCTGAGAGCTTTGATCAAAGCTTGATGCTAGCCAATTTACTTACTTGCCTGACATTAAGTCTAGTATAAATTCTTCTAACTAGACTCCTTGAATTAAATCTGGAATACAGCTTACCAATCTAAGTAGACAGGCCAATTAAAGTAACAGTTTTAGAGAAATGATTCTTAATAAGAGTAGGTTGGGGCCGGGCACAGTGGCTCACGCCTGTAATCCCAGCACTTTGGGAGGCCGAGGTGGGCGGATCACCTGAGGTCAGGAGTTCAAGACCACCCTGGCCAACATGGTGAAACCCCGTCTCTAGTAAAAATAACAAAAATTAGCTGGGCATGGTGGTGAGCATCTGAATCCCAGCTACTTGGGAGGCTGAGACAGGAGAACTGCTTTAACCCAGGAAGCGGAGGTTGCAGTGAGTGGAGATTGCTCCATGGCACTCCAGCCTAGGCAAAGTGCGGAGTCTCACAAACAAACAAAAAAAAAAAAAAAAAAAAGAGTAGGTGGAATTTGGGCACAGTGGCCCATACCTGTAATCCTCACACTTTGGGAGGCCTAGGCGGGTGGATCACCTGAGCTCAGGAGTTTGAGACCAGCGTGGCCAACATGGTGAAACCCTGTCTCTACTAAAAATACCAAAAACCTAGCTGGGTGTGGTGGCAGATGCCTGTATTCCCAGCTACTTGGGAGGCTGAGGCAGGAGAATCACTCGAACCCAGGAGACAGAGGTTACAGTAAGCCAAGATTGCTCCATTGCACTCCAGCCTGGGCGACAAGAGTGAAACTCCGTGTCAAAAAAAAAAAAAAAGAGTAGGTGGAATTTCAGAAATGCCTAAGATTGGTAGAACAAGGATAGAATATACAGTTTGAAAGTCATATTCAATATAATAATAACTGTATATGGGAAAGAAGTTATTATCGTTTCTATAATACAAACTTAAGAGAACGCAAGATCAAATACTCTTGGCTGATGAGGATAAGAGGTTGGATATTATAGACTGGCGCGGTGGAAGGGTGTTTCTCAGAATGAAGAGGAGGTATGAGATTTTTGTTTCCCAAAAGAGGCCATGAGTTTTAAGATTAAGGAACGCTGTTCTACAGGAAAGTTGAAGATTCCTGGTTTAGATGGGTAGATGGTCTTTTGTGAAGTACCTTTTCTGCAAAAGTTGCCGAACTATACCTACACTGGAACATTCGCTGAAATAGCTCTATCATTAGACTAATTAGTACAGGGGTTATTGTAAAAAAAAAAAGTCACGCAGCACAGTTAAGAAATTTCTTGGTTTTCAGATACATTATAAGTTTTTTCTTTTAATTTCATTTTATACCCATTCCATAAAGCACATAAATGACTAGTTCCGAACCTCTTTGCATTAGCAGCTAAGGACTGAGAGCCAAAGCTATGGATCTATTCCAGTAGACAACAGAATCTTTTGATATGTCCTGTAGGTACTAACCTCACCTCTGATTTCTTTCTTTACTTTCTTTTTCTTTTTTTTTTTTGAGATGGACTCTTGCTCTGTCGCCCACACTGGAGTGCAGTGGTGCGATCTTGGCTCACTGCAACTTCCGCCTCCCAGGTTCAAAAGATTCTCCTGCCTCAGCCTCCCAAGTAGCTGGGATTACAAGTGATGGCTACTACGCCTGGCTAATTTTTGTATTTTTAGTAGAAACGGCATTTCACTATGTTGCCCAGGATGGTCTTGAACTCCTGACCTCAAGTGTTCTGCCTGCCTCAACCTCCCAAAGTGCTGGGATTACAGGCGTGAGCCACTGTGCCCGGCCTCCTCACCTCTGATTTCATCCTTTTCTCCTCCCACATTTCTCTCAACCTGAATTCTTCAATTATTTTCTATTTCATCACATAGTACTGGAGGTATCTTTATGAACAAGAGAGTATAAATAAGTTTAAAATATGCAAAGCACTGCAATAGGGACTAGCAGATATCAAAGGATGAATCAGAGACTGACTCTGTCTTAATGCCCTCCAGGAGCCGACCCTCTGGTGGGGGAGAGAGACACACATAAGGCAAACCACTCTGAGGGCAATGTTCGAGAGGAGCACGAACAAAGTACGGGACAGTGCAGAGCAGGAAGCATGACATGGGCTCAGAAGCTCCATCCGGAGTAAGAAACACTCCTCTCTGGAGCTCCCTGAGCATCTCTATCATTGCACTTATTTTTATTTATTTACTTATTTTTTTGTGATTGTGGGAAGAATATAATTATACTTAAGATCCTATGTGGAAAAATCTGTTAATGTCCATTGCCCCTGTTAAGGTACTGACCAGGAGGGACATAGTCTTATCCATCATCTTGGTATCCCCAGGGCCTAGCCCAAAATCTGGCACAGAGCAGATGCTCAATAAATGTCTGCTAAATGAATGAGAAAGCTTTCAGTAGGTAGGGAAGTGACCAGGCACTCCAGGCAGAGTGACCAGCATAAACAAAGACAGAATGTCTGTACCGTAAGACCAACGTCCAGGGTGCAAGAATGTGATGTCTGGTGAGAGTGCAGCTGGAAAAATCCTTAGGACCTAGAATGACACATGGAAGGCAACATCTTCACCATTTTTTGGTAAGCCCTGCGCATTCTAGTTTTGATAATGCTTTTTGGTTACACAGCATTCTTTCTATATCCAGAGAGGTTTTATTTGCTAATTGAATGGCAATAACTATGGTGGCTTCACACCCACCATAGTTGTGTGTGAAGGGTCATATTTGCTATTTTACTTCTGAAAGCCTACCTTGTATTACTTACTGTTCTAGCAAGAGACAGTAGTGGTGAAGATATACCTGGCTACAAAACAACCTGAACAGGCCATCCTGAGTGAAAGAGCTGCTTGATGAAGGTAGACATCCATTTACCTAGCTAGAACCAGCTGGGTCATCTCTGAAGTTTAACAGTGGAAAATGTCATAAGAAGAGGCCCAGCCCTCAGATTCTGAAATCAGCCTCCATGCCACGTTCTGAGAGGTTAGCTAGACTTGGTAAAAGGCTTATGCAAATACTAAGAAATGTACTCAGGATAACAGAGAATTTCTCTATTCCAAGCCCTGGGTCTCTAAGAAGGAAGCCTGTGATTCCTTAAGAAAAATGATACATGCCAATACTTCTCCCATCAAGAAAGAAGACACAACAGCCTAAGCCTAAGGACACACACAAAAAAGAAGGAAGCAGGATTAACAGTTAAAAATCTGGGAAGGGTACATGCTGTTTAAATGGAACCATGGAGAGAGAAAGTTTTCAGATTCAAATTTGGCAAGACCAAGAAAATGTACTTACTAAATAACAGGAAAGTACAGATCACTTTAATGATTCATATGCTCTGCCTCCAAATAACAGCTCAACAACAATGCTAACTGAAGCTACTGCCTCTGACTACAATGCATGATCGTACTGAACATTTAATAGATGCTGTTTCAGGCTACTGAGGAAAGACAGAACAGTGTCTATGAAATGGGGCTCCTGTCCTGGAGGAGCTTACAATCTGCCAAGGACCTCGAGGCCATATCCACAAATTTAAACAAACAGTGTGAGGGTGCAAATGCTGAGTGACAGCAGAACTTGTGAAGACGGTAAGACTCAGATAAACAGAAATAAGATGACATAATACAAGTGGAAACACTCAGCAAAGGAGGAAAAATAATACTTTTACACAACTGGTTGTGAATGAAATTTTTTTTTTTTTTTTTTTCTGAGATAGAGTCTCTGTCACCCAGGGTGGAATGCAGTGGCACAATCTGCAACCTCTGCCTTCCAGGTTCAAGCCATTCCCCTGCCTCCACCTCCCAAGTAGCTGGGATTACAGGCACATGCCATCAGGGCCAGCTAATTTTTGTATTTTTAGTAGAGACAGGGTTTCACCATGTTGGCCAGGCTGGTCTCAAACTCCTGACATCAAGTGATCCACCCACCTCGGCCTCCCAAAGCGCTGGGATTACAGGCATGACCCACCACGCCCAGCCCGAGTGAGTAAAGTATTAATGTCTTCCTCCCAATAAGTGTATAAGGAGGAGGGATTGGATAGATGAGGACATAAGTACAAGGATGTTTGCACTCATAAGGATGCTTACTGTTGGTGGAATTCAAAGTTTGAATTCAATGTAGGGAAAGGGTAGTATGAACACAAAATTTATGGTCCAAACAAGAAGCATTTCTGAAAGTAAAAGGCAGGCTAAAACTAAGTATTAATAACAGGTGGTAATTATCCAAAACAGGCACAGACTGGCACACTGCAGGGTGACCAGTACACAAGCAACAGGGAGCCACTGAATAAGTATTTCTGGATTCAGGTGATGGCAATGAGAATGGAATGATGGGGTAAATGGAGGACTTAGTACGTGGCTAGATATGGTAGGGAAATGACAAATCTAGGTGAATATTCCTTCACAGAAAACATGAAATATGGAGGGGAAGTTTTCAGGAACTTGAGTTTAAAGACGGGACAATCAAGTGGAAGTGTCCAGAGGAAAGGGAGACATGGAACTAGAACTGAGGACAGACATTGGAAATAATTTAAAAAGATTGATTAGCAGGCGGTATAAGAGCAGACAAGTAACAGCCAAAGAGATAATCCCATTATCAATTTCTCATTTGAAGTTTGATCAATTTTCATACTCTTGTTCAATTCCTTTCACTCACAATGGTTGAGCCCTCCCAATTCTCCACTTGCCCTGCCAAATCTCAAAGAGCTTATCACGCCATTCAATTAGCAAATAAAACCTCTCTGGCATTTCTTACATTTGCAAAGAGCTTTTAGGATATATTTGCTAATAAAATCTCCCATTTTAAGTCTTATGTTTAGCACTAAACTAGACAAGATAAAAATTGGGAATATAATACCCCTCCCCACAAGTAATCTTTTTATTTTTGGCTAATGGAGTGATTCAAATATTATTAAATGATTTGATTACCTTTTCAGAGAAACTTAGTTGTTGCTTGCAACTACAGCATCCAGGAAAGGAGGAAAAATAATACTTATATAAAACTGGTTGCGAATATATGCAAGGGAAAAAAGTATTAATGTTTTCTTCCCAATACATTTATAAGGAGAAATCTGGAGTAGATGAAGATACAAGTACAAGGATGTTTACATTCAGGCAAGCTAGGATCACAGAGAACCCTAGGATCCCAACCTTGGCCAGCAAAGCACACTGCTTCTCCCCTAGAGTAGTCCTAGAAAGGCTGGTACAAAAACCAGTGTACTGATTAGGCTGAGCAGTGAACTGCATCTTCCACAGGTGATGAGGGGGGAAAAAATGGAATAAATGGCAATTTCCTGCTATTCCACACAGGGAATGTTCAGCTTCTGGTTCATGAGAAAATATAAGTACTATATACGCCTCACAGACAGGTTCAAAAAAGCATTTGTTAGCAGTGATTTGCCAAGTTTCATACTCTGTTGAGAATATTAAGAGCCCATATCCAAAGTTGGAAGGCTAAAGCCTGGTTAATGGGTTTAGGAAGGTACTATTCTCCACAGGGGAGGGCTTCAGAAGAGTAATTGTCCCTGTTCTCATGCCATTAGCATTACGGCATAGACTGATTTCCACTGCAGTTGAACAAATAATAGAAACTGTTCAAGTAGCCTAACACAGAAAACTCACTTTAAGATTTCACATTAATACAACAAGAGAACAGATAGAATTAAGTGTATTTTGTGCTCAAAAGATATTGGTTTACTCTATACTCCCTATTTCCCTCACTGCCTTGATATTAAAAGAAAACATACAATTGGGTTGTGCACTCACTACTTTAAACTGCTTGCTTTAAGTCTGCATTAGAGAAATGCAAAGTCAGGCACTTGAGAGAACAGGTTCAGACAAATGAGACTTTAAAGACGCCAAGCAGAATGCTTGTCCTCCAGCCCTTTCCTCTGCCTCTAGATGCTAATGCACACTGCCTTGGTGTAGAAAGGACTGAAATGTCTCAAGTGTAGAAAGGGTTATGACTTTTTATAACCAAGTGAGATTTTCTGAACCTCTCAGCAACACTAGCTGGGTTTTATACACATCTGAGTCATGGGAAGAATCAATTTTATGACTAAGAGATTTCCTATGACTGTCAGTGGCTACTTTTGCTTCACACACACACACACACACACACACACACACACACACGCAAAACAGACAAACAAAAAAACTAGTTGTTAGTATCAGAGCAACCTTCTTAGCTGAAGGACTGTTCACACCAAGCCTTTATATCCCCCAGGGGTACTAAGAACCAGCCAAGGAAGGCAAATTTCAGAAGCTTTCCCGACAAACACAATTCAGGGATAAGGGGTTCAATGTGCAAAGTCTTTTATTTAAAATTTTAGAAGTTAAGACTTACGACCACCTCAGTATATGCCATTCCTAATAGAAGGAGGTATGACGGTTTCAAACTCGTGCAGAGCTGCATTTTCATTTACAAGTCTCTGTAGGCACTTTAGAAGTGAAGCTTGGCTTCAAAATACAAACACTGGGGGCTTTGGCTCAACCTTTTAATATAAAAAAATTCACTGATGTACAAAAATTTGAAAGTGTGACAATGACAATTATGAAATCCTGTGACTGAAAGTCCCCTCGAGTGCACTCTGTGGTGCACATGCGCCCGCCCACACAAACTCTGGCATGGAAACATAAACTAATGCAAACCAGTGCTACCCAGAAGCACCAACACGTGTGTTCTCCATTCCACCAATCACAGACCAGTATCTACTCCAAACATCCAGTAACGAAAACTATGGCATCTTCCCAGGAACAGCAAGGCAGGCTTCTTACTCACGATGAACCAGCACGAATAAACCCAGCAAAAAGAGAACTGCATACTAGAAAATAAACACAGAACCACAAGTCAGAGAAGCGTTGAAAAGTTCAGAGGTTCTAAGAGTTAATTAACAAATTGGTCTTTGTGAATATATCGCTAAACTACCCAATTATTCTTTCATCTTTTAACTATAATCCATTTAAAAGTTTCCAATACTAAGCAAAATATCACATTTCTTTAAATAATTTTCTTTTTTTTTTTTTTTTGAGACAGTCTCACTTTGTCACCCAGGCTGGAGTGCAGCAGCAACCTCCACCTATCATATTCAAGCAATTCTCGTGCCTCAGCCTCCCCAGTAGCTGGGATTACAGGTGTGTACCACCATTCCTGGCTAATTTTTTTGTATTTTTAGTAAAGACAGGGTTTTGTCATATTGACCAGGCTGTTCTCGAACTCCTGACCTCAGGTGATCTGCCTGCCTCAGCCTCCCAAAGTGCTGGGATTACAGGCGTGAGCCACTGCGCCCAGGCTAATAATTTTTTTTTTTTTTTAATAGAGACGGGGTTTCGCTATGTTGCCCAGGCTGGTCTTGAACTCCTGGGCTCAAGCGATCCACTCACCTCGGCCTCCCAGAGTGCTGGGATTACAGGCTTGAGCCACTGTGCCTGGCCCAAAAGATTACATTTTTTAATAAAACAAATAATACAGACTCTTACCTTAAATTTAGGATAGTCATTCATGAGGATCGTCACAATTCCAATATAAGGAACAAATCTAAAACAAACAAAAAACTGATTATCACAGAATTTCCGATGTAAAGCAGCTGTTGTCACTCACTGAATATTATCAATATCTTCTATAGAATACTAATTTTCAATTCACAAAGTCCATTTCTATATACTGCCCTATTTGATCCTTGCAAAAGCCCAAGTGATAGGAAAGTTAGGAATATCACCATTTTAGAGATGAGGAAACAGATGATCATGCCCAAGGTACATGGTTTCTGTGTGGCAGAACCAGCACCAGATAGAGCCAAGGTCTTAGATCTCCAGGTGGTGACTCTAATGCTACATGTTGATACAGTGCTAGGGGCTAGGTTTATCATCATAACCTTCAGGAAGCTGTCAATCTAGCTGGGGAGACAAAGCAAGCACAGCCAGAATATTACAAAGTACTTCATGTTAAGTGGCCAAAAAGTGAGTGTAAGAGCTCATTATAGTACTTAGGATTTCACCACCTTCTCATTTTTTAATCACCTGTAAGCTGTGTTTGGTCCTATTAACTTGAAACTTTTCTAGAACAGTTTTCATCACCATATGTAGCAAACCAGTCTCAACTCCCATCTTCCTTTCCATCTTGGCAGCATTTGACTTTCATGACCACAAATATGCTCTGGAAATTCCTCCTTCTTGGTTTCTTAATGTACCACAGATTTGTTTCTTCACCTAACTCTTTGGCTGCTACACTTTCTTTTCACTAGCTCTTTCTAATTCCTCATGCCCCTAAAGTTTTTCCCCTCAAACTAAGCAAAACCACCTGTTAAATTATCTTACAGCACCTGATACATTTCCTTTGAGGTCTTTATAATAATTATCATACTTTTACTTAAATAATTAGTTGTACAACAGATTCGATACATGTGTGTCTCCCCTACCAAACTAGAAGCTCTATAAAGGCAACAATGATGCCTATCTTGTTCCCCCTGTATCCTCAAGGTCAACATAGTGCCTTACACATAGGAGATATCCAGTACATCCTGCCTGATTGAATGTCTGAATGTCCGGGCCTTTTCTTTTTGCTTTCTCTTGGGGAAATCCTATTTTCTCCCAGGGCTTAAATTCCTCTCCATGCAAAAGACTACTTTGACATCATAAGCATTCACGGCAGAAAGAGAAAATTAGCAGGGTACCATCGATGTGGGCGGAATAGGTGGTTAGCAAATGTAAAACTTTCTTCTTTATCCTCCTCTTCTATCGCTGGACTCCAGAGCGGACTGGCAATATTGTACTAAGCTAGAGCCTGTCATAGGGACGCTGAGCTGAAGTGGAGGCTGACCTTTGCACACTTTAAAACAGCCCAGACCATGCCAAAGACAGCACAAACAGAAATTACCTCCCACATAATATCTACACCATCAAAGCCTCAGGCAAACTTGAAGAACACACATTTTGTTTTTGACACATTTCACTTCCCTTTAAGAACTCGCCTCTGCCTCTGCCTCTGCCCCTGACCATGCCCCTGCCCCTGCCTCTGCCTCTCCCCACGGTCTCCCTCTCCCTCTCTTTCCACGGTCTCCCTCTGATGCCGAGTCGAAGCTGGACTGTGCTGCTGCCATCTCGGCTCACTGCAACCTCCCTGCCTGATTCTCCTGCCTCAGCCTGCCCGGTGCCTGCGATTGCAGGCGCGCGCCGCCACGCCTGACTGGTTTTCGTATTTTTTTGGTGGAGACGGGGTTTCGCTGTGTTGGCCGGGCTGGTCTCCAGCTCCTAACCGCGAGTGGTCCGCCAGCCTCGGCCTCCCGAGGTGCCGGGATTGCAGACGGAGTCTCGTTCACTCAGTGCTCAATGGTGCCCAGGCTGGAATGCAGTGGCATGATCTCGGCTCGCTACAACCACCTCCCAGCCGCCTGCCTTGGCCTCCCAAAGAGCCGAGATTGCAGCCTCTGCCCGGCCGCCACCCCGTCTGGGAAGTGAGGAGCGTCTCTGCCTGGCTGCCCATCGTCTGGGATGTGAGGAGCCCCTCTGCCTGGCTGCCCAGTCTGGAAAGTGAGGACCGTCTCTGCCCGGCCGCCATCCCATCTAGGAAATGAGGAGCGTCTCTGCCTGGCCGCCCATCGTCTGAGATGTGGGAAGCGCCTCTGCCCCGCCGCCCCGTCTGGGATGTGAGGAGCGCCTCTGCCCGGCCGCGACCCTGTCTGGGAGGTGAGGAGCGTCTCTGCCCGGCCGCCCCGTCTGAGAAGTGAGGAGACCCTCTGCCTGGCAACCGCCCCCTCTGAGAAGTGAGGAGTCCCTCCGCCCGGCAGCCACCCCATCTGAGAAGTGAGGAGCCCCTCCGTCCGGCAGCCACCCCGTCTGGGAAGTGAGGAGCGTCTCCGCCCAGCAGCCACCCCGTCCGGGAGGGAGGTGGGGGTCAGCCCCCGCCAGGCCAGCCGCCCCGTCCGGGAGGTGAGGGGCGCCTCTGCCCGGCCGCCCCTACTGGGAAGTGAGGAGCCCCTCTGCCCGGCCACCACCCGGTCTGGGAGGAGTACCCAACAGCTCATTGAGAACGGGCCATGATGACAATGGCGGTTTTGTGGAATAGAAAGGGCGGAAAGGTGGGGAAAAGATTGAGAAATCGGATGGTTGCCGTGTCTGTGTAGAAAGAAGTAGACATGGGAGACTTTTCATTTTGTTCTGTACTAAGAAAAATTCTTCTGCCTTGGGAAAAAAAAAAAAAAAAGAACTCCCCTCACTTCCTGTCTCTTGTCTTCACCCCTCTCTGTCCTCTCCCTTCTAGCAGGATCACTGAGACCTGTCTCTCTTGCCCCATCCCCAAACTCCCATTCCATACACTGGTGTTTCTTAAAGCCTAGACCTCCTCTGTCACAACCGCTTGATGGCTTGTTAAAAATGCAGATTCTTGGCTGGGCACGGTGGCTCACGCCTGTAATCCCAGCACTTTGGGAGGCTGAGGCGGGTGGATCATGAGGTCAGGAGATCGAGACCATCCTGACCAACATGGTGAAACCCTGTCACTACTAAAAATATAAAAATTAGCTGGGCATGGTGGTGCACGCCTGTAATCCCAGCTACTCAGGAGGTTGTGGCAGCAGAATCGCTTGAACCCGGGAGGTGGAGGTTGCACTGAGCCGAGATTGTGCCACTACATGCCAGCCTGGCGACAGGGTGAGACTCTGTCTCAAAAAATAAAAATAAAAAATAAAAAAAATAAATAAAAATGCAGATTCTTGTATCTTTCCCAGACCAACTAAGCCAGGGAATTTCTGAAAGGTGGGGCCCAAATAACGCTCCTGTACATCAAAATTCAAGAAGTACAATTTTAGTGTGAGATGCACATATAGGTGTGTGATGGCAAATAATATCCCTTCTTAGGGTTCATGCTTTCATCTCAACCCCTGGGATCTCCAAGAGCTGAAAAGTAACAGTCGTTAAAGAATGGCACGGCTAAGCTCTAAGAGGATGGATAGAGGTTTTCTACATTTTATATATATTTATATATATATATTATTTTTCCTTTTTAATGCAGTAACTGTTATTTCTTTTGTCTCATTTTTAACACTTCCATAAAAGCAATAGCTTTCAGTAAATCACCTAATTTAAGAACATAAAGGCAAATGCCTCACAGTAAAGTACAGATTAAGAGCTATAAAAGCATCTGTGATTTCTACTAAAACATTAAGCTGCTAATTCTGATCTGATGATCAATAAGCAGCCATTCTAATACACAGAGACTCTGTTACCTCCATGCAATGATATCTATGCCCAAAGAACCACAATCCTCAGCTCCCAGCAATCACATAGCCTGCTTGTGAATAATCCATGGAATTTAAAAAAAAAAATTTTTTTTTTGATACATGATCTTACTCTGGCACCCAGGCTAGAATGCAGTGGTGTGATCATAGCTCACTACAGCCTTGAACTCCTGGGCTCAAGCAATCCTCCCACCTCAGCCTCCCAAGGAGCTGGGACTACAAGTGCACGCCACCATGCCTGGCTAATTTTTAAATTTTTTTGTAGAGACAGCATCTCACTACCTTGCTCAGGCTGGTCTCAAACTCCTGGGCTCCAGCGGTTCTCCCATCTTGGCCTCTTAAAGTGCTGAGATTACAAGCGTGAGCCACCACACACAACCTGAAACTTTTTTTTAAAGGTTGGCTTTTCTTTGCCCACTGTAAGTGAAATGAAAGCAACTTGGTCTTTAGGAGTAATATAAGCAAGATCTAAGGATCCCAGAATATGACGAGGCAGTTCAAAGTCAAACAAAAGATTTAATTGTCTGTACCACTGTTACCCTCCATGGACAGAGATAAGCAAAGAGCTGATAATCAAGTGTATAATGCTGCTATCATCAGTCATCTTAAATTCAAACCATTTGCACTTTTTGCCTATTTTGCTCAGATAAACTCATGTGCTAAAGCAGAGTTGCTAATAAGCAGGAGGTTTAAAGTAAGTAAAATGAATGCCATCCACAAAGCCAACTCCAACACTAGCCTGTGCCAAGTTAATATCTAGAAGGTAAAATGCATTTCATATAGTTAAATACATTTCCGTGGGAATTCTTGGGATCAAAGGTACTGCTGAGGAAGTAGCCTCAGAAGAAAGCACTGTCTCCTGATGCTCATAGAGATCATTAGACAAAAGGCCAAACAAACAGTAAAGAAAAGATGCCACAAAAATTAAGAAGAGACCCCAGCACAATTCTGTCAAATATCAAAAGGGGTCTATATCTGGGAAGTCTGAAATCCAGCAGCAACTAAATGAGAGAGTAAGAGAATATGCGATGACCAGAAAAGGATCATCTTGTTTCTAGAATGACTTGTTTCAAGTAAGAAGTACATTCAAAAAGTCTTATCCATAAAACTGATTTCAGTTAACAGAGAGCTCAATTACTCTACTCCTTCCTTATATATTTTTAATTCTTCTTTCCATTTTCAACATTTCTGTTCCCCGATCCTCTGCCAATCTTTCACCCTTTTCACCTGCTGCTTTCTATTCCTTCTTAACTAATGGGTGCTCTTGAATTTTTCAACTTCCTGAGTTTAGAAAGAAATCACCTTTATTAATACTTAATTGGTTCAGTATTAGTTTCATTTTCTAAAATTGTTTTTATTACATGCTACGACATGAATAAGCCTTAAAAACATTATGCTAGGTGAAAGAAGCTGGACACAAAAGACTACGCATTGTATGATTCTGCTTATATGAAAAGTCCAGAATAGGGAAATGCACAAAGACAGAAAGCAGATTAGTGGCTGTCCGAGGCTACAGGAAGTAGAGGATGGGGAGTGACTGCTAATGAGTACTGAGTTTTATTTTTGGGGTGATAGAAATGTTCTGGAATTAGATAGTGGTGATGGTTGCACAATCTTGTGAATATACTGAAACCCACTGAATTGTACTCTTTAAGATGGTGAATTTTATATTCTAATATATGTGAATTATATCTCAATAAAAGTTTTTTTAAATTATTTTAATTTAGAGCCTTAGGCCTCAACATAAAATTTTTTTAGTGTGCAGCTGTTAAAAAAAAAGAGAGAGACCAGCCTGGCCAACATGGTGAAACTCCATCTCTACTAAAAATACAAAAAATTAGGTGGGCATGGTGGCACATGCCTGTAATCCCAGCTAATTGGGAGGCTGAGGCAGGAGAATTGTTTGAACCTGGGAGGTGGGGGTTGCCGTGATCATGCTGTTGCATGGGCAACAAGAGTGAAACTCTGTCTCAAAAAAAAAAAAATTTTTTTTTTTTTTAATGCATAAAGGAGGCGGAGTGCAGTGGCTCACATCTGTAATCCCAGCACTTTGGGAGGCCGAGGCGGGCAGATCACCTGATGTCAGGAGTTCGAGACCGCCTGGCTAACATGGTGAAACCCTGTTTCTACTGAAAATACAAAAAATTAGCTGGGCATGGCTAATCCCAGCTACTCAGGAAGCTGTAATCCCAGCTACTCAGGAAGCTGAGGCAGGAGAATCCCTTGAACCTGGGAGGCAGAGGTTGCAGTGAGCTAAGATAGCACCATTGCACTCCAGCTTGGGCAACAAGAGCAAAACTCCATCTCAAAAAAAAAAAAAGCATAAAGGAAGCCAGGCACAGTGGCTCACACCTGTAACCCCAGGACTTTGGGAGGCCAAGGTGGAGGACTGCTTGAGCCCAGGAGTTCAAGACCAGCCTGGGCAACACAAGGAGAGCCAATCTCTACAAAAATTAAAAAAATTAGCCAGGTGTGATAGCATGCACCTGTGATCCTAGCTACTGAGAAGGCTGAGGTGGGAGGATTGCTTGGGCCTGGGAGGTGGAGGTTGCAGTGAGCCATGATTCTGCCACTGCACTCCAGCCTGGGTGATAGAGTGAGACTCTGTCTCAAGAAAAAAAAAAGCATGAAGACGTATGTACTACAGTAACAGACTTGCCTGTGGAAAAGCTCTATTCTTAAGATTTGTGTACATCCTGACTTTGAAATACCAGTTTAGTGTTTTATAAACACAATTTCCACAAAAGAAAGTGTTATGTTCCATTACGTGTCAAGCTCAGTAGAGGTACAATCAATGGAAAGTAAATTTATATAGTTAAGATTCTGTGCTTCTGCTGTTCATGTCTTAGGTTTTTTTTTTCTACAGAAACTTCCTTAATGCAGAGAGTACTAGACTATTACATTTTTTTAAGTAACAGCTCAAAATGGTCTATAGTTTCTATGTTGGGATTTTAAAAATAGCATTAAATAGTGTGGAATTTTTTCTTTTCTTTTTCTTTTTTTTTTTTTTTTAGACAGAGTGCCGCTCTGTCACTCAGGCTGGAGTGCAGTGGCGTGATCTCGGCTCACTGCAAGCTCCACCTCCCGGGTTCATGCCATTCTCCTGCCTCAGCCTCCAGAGTCACTGGGACTACAGGCACCCGCCACCACGCCCAGCTAATTTTTTTGTATTTTTAGTAGAGACGGAGTTTCACTGTGTTAGCCAGGATGGTCTCGATCTCCTGACCTTGTGATCCGCCCGCCTCAGCCGCCCAAAGTGCTGGGATTGCAGGCGTTAGCCACCGCACCCAGCCCAGAATTTTTTCAAAAATTGTCCAGAAGACAAGTTGAGTGAAAGCTCCCCTAACCTTTCGTAGGATGATGCATCTTTTACCCAACCAATGGGCCAGAGTGAGCAGACAGAGCTGTAATAAACACTTAAGAATCAAGACCCAGGCCAGATGTGGTGGCTCATGCCTGTGGTCCCAGCACTTTAGGAGACCATGGTAGGCAGGTCACTTGAAGCCAGGGGTTCCAGACCAGCCTGGCCAACATGGCGAAAACCCATCTCTACTAAAAATATAAAAAATTAGCCAGGAATTGTGGCACACACCTGTAATCCCAACTACTTGGGTGGCTGAGACATGAGAATCATTTGAACCTGAGAGGCAGAGGTTGCAATAAGCTGAGATTGCTCCACTGCACTCCAGCCTGGGCAACAGAGCAAGACTCTCCAGCCTGGGCAAAAGAGCAAGACTCTGCCTCAAAAAAAAGAAAAGAAAAAAAAAAGAAGGCCCAGATAAAGGAACACTCAGTTGTACTAGCAGGAGTATAAATGAAACAGGCTTGGCAAAATTTGTCAAAAGCCTTAACATATGAGTATGCTTCACCCAGTAATTCCACTTCTAGGAATTTACTCTGAAGAATGATTGGGCAGAAATGCTGAGATATACATAATAAGGATATTTATCATAACATTGTTCGCAATAAAAAAGCTGGAAACAATCAGAATACCTAACAACAGGAGACTGACTGAATAAAATCTATATGTTCTATCCATAGGATAGAGTATATGGTCTTTCCATACAGTGGAATAGCATACAGCTTTGAAAATGATGATATGATGATAAATATATTGATTTGTAAATACGCTAGTAATTTTTTGGGTAAAAAAGGGGTTATAAGATAGTGTGACCATTCTCCTTTCACACACAAAATGCGTTTTATGTTTGTATAAATATGTACATACTAGGGCTGGGTGCCGTGGCTCATGCCTGTAATCTCAGCACTTTGAGAGGCCAAGACAGGTGGATCATTTGAAGCTGGGAGTTTGAGACCAGCCTGGGCAACATATCGAGACCCCATCTCTACTAAAAATACAAAAAATTAGCTGGGTGTGGTGACACACACCTGTAATCCCAGCTACTCGGGAGGCTGAGGCACAAGAATCTTTTAAGCCCAGGAGGCAGAGGTTGCAGTGAGCTGAGATCATGCCACCCACACTCTAGCCTGGGTGACAGAGCAAGACTGTCTCCAAAAAAAAAAAAGGCAAAAAAAAGTACTCATTAATATTTTTATCTCTACACACAAAGGCTAATATAAACCAAAAAGTTAATAGTAAATATTTATGGAGATCAAGAAAAAGGAGACAAGAAGTGACTTTGCTTTTTGATTATTGATATTTTCTTATGTTTCTACATGAATCTGTACATTTATAATTTGAGGAAAAACAAAGACTCAAAGAGATTGGAGAGTTTAAATAATCACATTAGCAGCATCTTGGGAACTGAGGAAGATGGGGACTAGTATTTCTCAGAAGCACTGATGACCTAATTTGGATTATAAAAGTATTTTTAGCTCCATCAAAGGAAAAGTTCCTTAAAGCGGGGACATATTAAAACAACAATAACAACCACAGCTCTGCAGCAGGCAAAGCACAATGATACCTGTTCTGATCTGATCTCTTTGGCCCCAAACTGAGCATCTCTCGTGCTGTAACTGAGGAAGCTTTCACTTAGCAACTCATACTTCCTTCTCTATGGGAACTGCGTATCTCAGACCTGCTTACTGGTGTAATAACTCTGTATCCATACAGTCTGTTCTAGGTCAAAAGGAGCAGAGGTTCTGACAGTGGCAAAAGTGCCATGTGGCATCTAACTAGTGAGAATTAGCAACTATCCATTTCAGAAATGTTACGCTAGTAATTTTTGTATGATGGTAAGGTGGACTATGCAGCCAGCCACTTACGACCATCAGTATAATCTTAGATACATAACCTAACTCATTTATGTTTCCTCATCTGTAGAATGGGAATATTAGGGTTGTTCTGAGGTTAAAATGTGGTAATACTTGTAAAGCACTTAGAATGAGTCTCTGGTACACAATAAGCCCTAATAAACGTGAGTTATTGTTAATACTATTAATTACATTAAGGGAGCAACAATGCCATACTTCCTTAATACCAACAACTTACAATTCCTGTCCTCCACTGAACTGTTCTCCTGATAAAATCTGAAACAAACAGGCTTAATATAACTTTTTAATTTCATTCAACCTCATCAATTTCAAGACTAGAAATATTATGGATTAAATTAACATGATAAAACTAATTTGGATGAACACTTTTGAGTTATTGACTTAGTACTTCTTAAGAAATATAAATATAACGCCATCTCTACTAAAAAAAAAAAAAATTAGCCGGGCATGGTGGCGGGCGCCTGTAATCCCAGCTACTCGGGAGGCTGAGGCAGGAGAATCGCTTGAACTCAGGAGGCGGAGGCTGCAGTGAGCTGAGATCGCGCTATTGCACTCCAGCCTGGGTGACAGAGCAAGACTCCATCTCAAAAAAAAGAAAAAAAAAAAAAGAAATGTAACTTTCATGAGGCAGGATTAATAGTGCTCTAGACCCCCAGAGGCTAGCATAGTGTGGACGTAAGAGCACATGGAAGGTGCCCACTATTTCTTGAGTGAACCAAATAAGTGAACACATTTTTTAAAATTGTCACATCCAATTCACCATCTCATCACTAGTATTCTATTCTTTTATTGCACCCCACCCAGTTCCTCACCTTTGGAGTAGTATACCTGAAATTTTAGACACTTTTTAAGAAGCAAAATTTTCAAAGGACACAAGGGTGATTTGGTGGAACCAGAACCAAATCTCTATATTCAACTGTGTATGATCAAATAATATGATTGAGAGGGCCACACTTCAAGTGATATAAAAAGTTTGAGATGCTCCCCTCTATACTTACCCCCTGGCTCTCCCCACAACATCTTTTTTCTCTAGCCAATGTTGTCCTTGTTTATAGAGGCCTCGGTCATCAACCGCATTATTATCTCCTTTGGTCAAAAACTTGATATGCCCATTTTGCCTTAAAAGAGTAAAGGAAACCCAAGTCATCAAATACCTTCATGGCATTTAAAGCACAAAATCTGTTCTTGTTAACCAAACATGTTTGTGGCACTGGGGTATCTTTTCACCATTCTAGTGTCGAAATAATTATTTATGGAGCTACAAGAATGTTAATAGCTGTGTTGTTCATAAACGACTAAAAACAAACTAAAGATCCAATATTAAGGAGCTCAAATATTATGTAAACATTAAAATAATGGTATAGAAGAATGACAAGATTGTACAAATTTTATTAAGTGAAGAAAAGAATACAAAATAGCATGTACAGTACAATCTCATTTTTATATTAAAATAAATACACACTACCAATTTTCTGGAAACACAAAGAACAAAGGAACACAATAAACTATCTCACAGGATATAATTGGCAAGATACAGACTATGGGAAACTACAGAATAACCCAGTTTCTCCAACTAATGACTTGCAAGGAACAAAGAAAGTTAGGGAAGTAACCTACAGATTAAACAAGAGACGGCCAGGCGCGGTGGCTCACGCCTGTAATCCCAGCACTTTGGGAGGCCAAGGTGGGCGGATCACCTGAGGTCAGAAGTTCGAGACCAGCCTGGCCAACATGGCGAAACCCTGTCTTTACTAAAAATACAAAAATAAGCTGGGCATGGTGGTGGGTGCCTGTAGTCCCAGCTACTCAGGAGGCTGAGGCAGGAGAATCACTTGAACCCAGGAGGCGGAGGTTGCAGTGAGCCGAGATCACGCCACTGCACTCAAGCCTGGGCGACAGAGCGAGACTCCATCCCAAAACGAAAAAAACAAAAAAACAAGAGAGTATAAAGCCACATCAACTAATTGCAGCTGAGAACTTTATCTGGGTCCAGATTCAAACAAATTGTTTAAGAAAGTTATGACACAATTGGGGATTTGAACAAATATCAAAAACTTGATGATACTAAAGAATTGTTTGGCCAGGGGCAGTGGCTCACTCCTGTAATCCTAGCATTTTAAGAGGCCAAGGTGGGTGGGTGGATCACTTGAGCCCAGGAGTTCAAGACCAACCTGGGCAACATGGCAAAGCAAAAAATACAAAAAAATTAGCCAAGCATGATGGTGTGCGCCTGTGGTTCCAGCTGAGTTAAGAGGATCACCTAAGCCCAGGGAGATTGAGGCTGCGGTGAGCTGTGATTGCGTCACTGCACTCTAGCCTTGGAGACAGAGTGAGACACTGTCTTGAATAACAAATAATAATAACAGGAAGGGGAAGAGGTGGGAGTAGAGATGGAGCAGAATTGGCTATATATTAATCATCACTGGGACAGGGATGATAGATACATGGGGGTTCCTCATACCCTTCTGTACATGTCAGAAACTCCCCAAATTCAGAAAATAAAAGCAAAAAAAAGGTATTAGACAAGATCTAAAATAATACAGACCAATGGATAAACAGACCAATGGATAAACAGTGGCTATCTATGGCTTTCTTTAGATTACCTTTATCTTCTTTTTTCTCTAACAAACATGAATTACTTTTATATTAGGAAAAAATGTTAGCTTTCAAAGAAGAAATACCTCAATTCTTCAGATATGCCAGGGTTTACAGGAACAGTATTTTGTTTTTTTGTTTTGTTTTGTTTTGTTTTGAGACAGAGTCTCACACTGTCGCCCAGGCTGGAGTGCAATGGCATGATCTCGGCTCACTGCAACCTCTGCTTCCTGGGTTCAAGCGATTCTCCTGCCTCAGCCTCCCAAGTAGCTAGGATTACAAGCGCCCGCCACCACACCCAGCTATTTTTTTTGTATTTTTAGTAGAGACAGGGTTTCACCATGTTGGCCAGGCTGGTCTGGAACTCCTGACCTCATGATCTGCCCACCTCGGCCTCCCAAAGTGCTAGGATTACAGGCGTGAGCCACCGTGCCCAGCCAGGAACAGCATTTTGTTGATCAGAAAATTATTAGCTTAATTCTACTAAAGAACCATGAAGTTTCTAGTAATTTTAAAATTTAATTGAAAGCAAAGTATATTTTACAGTTGATAAAGACTAGCTGAAAATTAATTCAAAGTGCATTTGGATTGACCACTGTAGTAGAAAGAAGAAAATTAGCTTCAGGTTTCTATGGGCTAATATCCACTTAGATTCTAAGCCGGAAACTGGCTCACTAGATGTTAAATCTGCAGAGGAAACTAAATTGGGAGGTGTTGCAAACACCAAAGATGGTTAAGTGCAAACAGTCACATTAAAAATAAGATGCCAGTTAGAAAAAATGCAAATATATACAGAGAAAAATAATCTGTAGCTGACAATTCAGTAAGTGAAAAAAGGAAAAATTCTGAAGGGTAAAAGAGGACAGGTGCTAGGAGGGGCTCACTGCAAGAGTGAAAGTCAGGAACAGCAGGAAGGAAAACTGAATTCAACCCAGAAAACAATATCAACTCCACACATGCAGAAAAGGCAAATCAGATATGAGGAGATAAAAATCCAGGAAAAGGGGAACTCCCCAGAAAAAGGAAAGGGTGCTAGAGAGATCTGGACTATTACCAAAGACTTGATTTGCTGGCAAAACAAACAAACAAACAAACAAACAAACAAACAAACAAACTAACTAACACACCCAATTTCCCCTTCTGGGATGTAATCAGGAGTTATCACTATAGTTTTTTTGAAAAAGCATAGATATTCTTCATCTACTTAGTGAAACAAATATTCTCTGGTGGCAACCGGCTCTTATTAGACCTATTTTTTTTTTTTGAGACGGAGTTTCGCACTTGTCACCCAGGCTGGAGTGCAATGACGCGATCTTGGCTCACTGCAACCTCAGCCTCCCGAGCAGCTGGGATTAAAGGCGTGCACCACCATGCCCAGTTAATTTTTGTATTATTAGTAGAGACAGGGTTTCACCATGTTGGTCAGGCTGGTCTGGAACTCCTGACCTCAGGTGATCCGCCCTCCTCGGCCTCCCAAAGTGCTGGGATAACAGGCCTGAGCCACCGCACCTGATCTTACTAGACCTATTAAGTCCTACTCCAGCATTTCACAAGTCATAGGCTCAAAATACTGAGTGAAGGCATATTTACATAGGATTTTTCCCTTGCTGGAACAAGGACCAAATATTTAATATTATCTACTTCTAGGGAGATCAAAGAGTTTAGAATTTAATTCACCCATCACAATACTGTGAAATTAGGAAGAAGGAAATAACCACTTTACAGATGAGAAAAAAATAAGACCCCAAAAGCTAAATGGGTACAGAATAATGTATCCATCTGCATGGGAAAAGCAAAGCTAAGGATTAAGTCACCCAATGGTAAAATTTCTCTTTCCAAATACTTAATCACATGCCAGTGTTCAGTATCATCCAATTATAATATCTCCTGATATGGTTTGGCTGTGGTCCCTACCCAAATCTCATCTTGAACTGTAGTTCCCATAATTACCACAGGTCATGGGAGGTACCCAGTGGGAGGTAATTGAGTCATGGGGGCAGGTCTTTCCCAAGCTGTTCTCATGATAGTGAATAAGTCTCATGAGATCCAATGGTTTTATAAATGGGAGATCCCCTGCACATGACCTCTTGCCTGCCGACATGTACAACATGGATTTGCTTCTTCTTTGCCTTCTGATTGTGAGGCCTCCCCAGCCATGTGGAACTGTGAGTCCATTAAACCTCTTTCCTTTATAAATTACCCAGTCTCAGGTATGTCTTTATTAGCAGCATGAGAACAGACTAATATACCTCCTATAGGATGAACCTACTAAATACATACATTTTGAATATTATTTGTCCCCATATTTAAGAACAATGTTAATACTATTAAACCAAATGGGGCTGGGTGCAGTGGGTCATGCCTGTAATCTCTGCACTTTGGGAGGCAGAGGTGGGTGAATCATTTGAGGTCCGGAGTTCAAGACCAGTCTGGCCAACATGGTGAAACCCTGCCTCTACTAAAAATACAAAAATTAGCTGGGCGTGGTGGCAGGCGCCTGTAGTCCCAGCTACTTGGGAGGCTGAGGCAGGAGAATTGCTTGAACCCAGAAGGCAGAGGTTGCAGTGAGCCAAACTCGCACCATGAACTCCAGCCTGGGCGAAAGAGCGAGACTCCGTCTCAAAAGAAAAAACAAAAAACAAAAAAAACCCAAATGGTAATCCTGACCAGATATTTCAGTCTCCCCAAAAGAAAAAAAGAAAATTGAAAATTTCTGAATATTAACAGGGTCTGTTATCTACACAGGCCTGCAAGTTGAAGGTATCTCAAGAGTCTGAAATAAATCACCAAAAACCCCAGATTACAAGTACCATATTTAAAATCATCAGAATTCTGTACAAAATTATTTTAAAAATTTAAGGATTTTCCAATTAATATATTCTCTGTCTATGAATCTGCCCAGAAGCAGTTTTAAACTTAAGTCTATGACTCATTCAATTTCTTTTTCTTTTCTTTTTTCTTTTTTTGAGATACAGTCTCACTCTGTTGCCCAGGATAGAATAAAGTGGCATGATCTCGGCTCACTGCAGCCTCAACCTCCTGGGCTCAAGTGATCCTCCTACCTCAGCCTCTTGAGCAGCTGGGACTACAAGTGCACACCACCGTGCCTGACTCATTTTTTTTTTTTTTTTTTATTTGTAGAGACAGGGTTTCACCATCTGGTCTAGACGCCCAGGCTGGTCTAGAGCTCCTGCGCTCAAGCACTCCACCCGCCTCAGCCTCCCAAAGGGCTGGGATTACAGGCATGAGTCACCACACCCAGCCAAACTCACTCAATTTCAAAGGATCACAAATTAAAATGGAGAAATTTTCCTCCAGCTTAAACAAGGCCTGAGCTTAATTTGATTCTCTCTGATATATTTAGGGGAAAGTTGGTTCAGCTTTGTTCACAACAGGCATTGCTGAGAATGAACAACACAAATCCACTTTCAGAATCTGGAAAACACTATCCATGCTGAATAAACCTCTGTAATTCCAAAATAAATTTCTTTTTTTTTTTTTTTTTTTTTTTGAGATGGAGTCTCACTCTGTCATTCAGGCTGGAATGCAGTGGCGTGATCTCAGCTCACTGCAACCTTAGCCTCCCAGGTTCAAGTGATTCTCCTGCCTTAGCCTCCTGAGTAGCTGGAGTTACAGGTGCCCACCACCACGCCTGGCTAATTTTTATACTTCTAGTAGAGATGGGTTTTGCCATGTTGGCAAGGCTGGTCTTGAACTCCTGAGCTCAGGTGATCTGCCCGCCTCAGCCTCCCAAAGTGCTGAGATTACAGGCATGAGCCACTGCTCCCGGCCCCAAACAATTTCTAAAAATTTAAGTTATTCCTTCCCAGTCAATAATATAATGTCACTTTAAATTATAGTATTTCCACATACATACTGATATCTGATTTTATTAAAAAAAAATAAGCAGTCATATCTTTATTTCACCAATGAAGAAAGAACTCTTCTAAACTAGAATGTTTATAGGAATTTCAAAAAGCAATGGTTGACAGTTTCCTCTTCTTTCAAGAACTGAAATCCACCAGGTGCAATGGCTCATGCCTGTAATCCCAGCACTTTGGGAGGCCAAGGCAGGCGGATCACTTGAGGCCAGGGGTTCGAGACTAGCCTAGCCAACAAGGTGAAACCCTGTCTCTACTAAAAATACAAAAATTAGCTGGGCATGGTGGCACATGCCTGTAATCCCAGCTACTCAGAAGGCTGAGGCATGAGAATCACTTGAGCCTGGGAGGTGGAGGTTGCAGTGAGCCGAGATAGCGCCACTGCATTCCAGCCTGGGTAACAGAGGGAAACTGTCTCAAAAAACAAACAAAAAAAGAACCGAAATCATGCCTACTCTTTCACTTCTCGTCTGTGTGTCATACAGGATGCCTCCCTTTTCTTTCATTTCTTTCTTTTTTCTTTTTTGAGACAGGGTCTCACTCGGTCGCCCAGGCTGGAGTGCAGTGGCACAAACACGACTCACTGCAGCCTCAAACTCCTGGGCTCACACAATCCTCCCACCTCAGTCCTCCAATTAGCTGGGACTACAGGCACATGCCACTACGCCCAGCTAATTATTTATTTATTTATTTATTTTTTGAGATGGAGTCTGGCTCTGTCGCCCAGGCTGGAGTGCAGTGCTGCAATCTTGGCTCACTGCAACCTCCACCTCCCAGGTTCATGCAATTCGCCTGCCTCAGCCTCCCAAGTAGCTGGGATTACAGGCGCCCACCACCACACCTGGCTAATTTTTATATTTTAGTAGAGACAGGGTTTCACGATGTTAGCCAGGCTGGTCTCGAACTCCTGACCTCAGGTGATCCACCCACCTCGGCCTCCCAAAGTGCTGGGATTACAGGCGTGAGCTACCATGCCTGGCCTTTTTTGGTTTTGTTTTGTTTTAATAGAGAAGGAGTCTCACCATGTTGCCCAGGCTGACCTCAAACTCCTGAGCTCAAGCCATTCTCTCACCTTGGCCTCCCAAAGTACTGGGATTGTAGGCGTGAGCCACTGTGCCCAACCAGAAGATTCTATTTAGGATCTATCTTTATGTCATAGTTTTTTGGAATTATATACAGAGTCACTGACAGGTTGGGAAGTAAAAGGGAACAAAGAAAAACCTCTGGAAAAACCTTCAGGGAAAGAAATGAACTAATAAATAATTATTTACAGTTTTCAAAATGTTCACTAAACTTTCCAGCATTCATAAAAATGGACTGGAAGAAGGCCTAGAGGTTCCTCACTGTTTTACAATCTTTAGGCTATCAAAACTAAATACCACAAACACTTAAACAAAAGCACTTAGAAACAAAGATGCTATACTTTGCACATACTTTTCATGAATCTTCAAGACTCGGTGAACTATAGGAATCTCTCTTCCTTCTATCCTAAAAACAACAATTTCTCCCACTCGTATGGGATCTTCAACTCGATTTGTTAGAAAGAGAAGATCTCCTCTATGAAATGCAGGTTCCATGCTGCCACTGGAAGGGAAAGAAGAATATAACAGCAAAAAGAAAGTATGAGATTAAATGTACTTTCAAAATTAGATATTCAACAAAATAAAAAATATCACTTTGGGAGTATACTCAATACCCTAACAACTATATCAACAGAAATGTGTATTGTTCTCAAAATATGGTTTCCTCAGACTAAAAAGTTACGCCAAAGGATTTTTTTTTAGTTATTAACCTTCACTAACTAGTTCCATTTCAAGTATCACTAGTCAAAGAAGCTTAAATCTTGAAAAGGTCAGTGTTACTAATTCCTTAACCTTTTAAAATTTCAAATGACAAACAGAATATAAAAGAATGAACTTTAAAACAATGCCCTTATTCTCACTTCATCTGAAAACACTAAACATATTCAGATATGCAAATGAGAACTGGATCATCTTCCTCTGCCATTTATAAAGATAACAGCCAAGATGACCTTATATGTTCAACTCATTTAGAAGGAAAAATGGCTCATCAAGTCAAGGAACAGCCAGCTACAGAGATAAAGCTTGTGTTATCAATTTACTTATTTTAAAAAGAGAAAAAAAGAAAACCAAGGAATAAGCAGAGATTTTTGCCTAAGAATTTCCGAAGCCAGGAAAAGATTCAATTCCATGGTAACAAGTAAGACTAACTTCTACAGAGTATCTTCTTACCTCTTACCTCTTCCATCCTACGCCAAGTGCTGAAAAGGTCCTAAGATATTTGCACTAATTTATGAACCCCTTTTTATCTATAAAGAAGTAGCCCATCAGTCTTTTTCAGAAACTCAAGCTCCGGTTTTCTATAACAACAGCTTAAGTAAGAATAGAAAGACAAGAAATAAAGTTCAACGCAGGAATAAGTACAAACTCCAAACACTTTTGTTTAAAGACTCTCTTCCCTCTATGTAAAGGGATATGGCAGTGGGTCTCAAATTTTGCTGCACATTGGAATGACCTGAGGGACTTTTAAAAAATCTCAGCCAGGTGCGGTGGCTCACACCTGTAATTCCAGCACTTCGGGAGGCCGAGGTGGGCAGGTGACCTGAGGTCAGGAGTTCGTGACCAGCCTGATCAACACAGTGAAACCCAGTCTCAACTAAAAATACAAAAATTAGGTGAGCATGGTGGCGCACGCCTGTAATCCCAGCTACTCAGGAGGCTGACGCAGAAGAATCACTTGAACCCAGGAGGTGGAGGTTGAATGGGCTGAGATTGCGCCATTGCACTCCAGCCTGGGCAATACAGTGAGACTCTGTCTCAAAAAAAAAAAAAAAAGAAGAAGAAGAAAAGAAAAAAAAGAAAAGAAAAGAAACTGGGGGCCAGGCACGATGGTTCAAGCCTATCATCCCAGCACTTGGGAGGTTGAGGGGGGAGGATCACTTGAGATCAGGAGTTCAAGACTCAGTCTCTGTAAAAAAAAAATTAGCCAAGTGTGATGGCACACTCCAGTCTGGGCGATGGAGGGAGGCCCTGTGTTAAATGTTCTTATCACAAAAAAATAGAAAGGGAAGAAACTTTTGAAAGTGATGAATATATTCACTTGCTTGATTGTGATGATGGTTTCACAGGAATATACTTACCTGCAAATTGATCAAGTTGTATACATTAAATATGTACAGCTTTTTGTATGTCAATCATATCTCGATAATTTGGTTAAAAAAGAGTAATCTAAGTACTATTACTTAGGTTCTAGATAATGTTAATGCACTATTATTTAGATTCTAGATAATATTAATAATTCCATTTATTTTAAATATGCACTCCATTATCTCCAGAAAAGATCTGGGCTTACAAAATTAAGCCCAAAATATGACAAAACTGTAATGTTTCTTTTCTTTCTTTTTTTTTTTTTTTTTGAGACAAAATTTCAATTGTCACCCAGGCTGGAGTGCAATGGAGCGATCTCCGCTCACTGCAATCTCCGCCTCCTAGGTTCAAGCAATTCTCCTGCCTCAGCCTCCTGAGTAGCTGGGACTACAGGCGCCTGCCACCACGCCCAGCTAATTTTTGTATTTTTAGTAGAGATGGGGTTTCAACATGCTGGCCAGGCTGGTCTCGAACTCCTAGCCTCAAGTGATCTGCCCGCCTTGGCCTTCCAAAGTGCTGGGATTACAGGTGTGAGCCACCACACCCAGCCTATAATGTTTCAGTCAAACAACCAAGTGGTAATTCTCTAAAAATGAGTTACTAAATTAGGTTTTAAAATCACTAAGAGTGGTTGCGCATGGTGGCTCATGCTTGTAATCCCAGCATGTTGGGAGGCCAAGGTGGGAGGATCCTTGAACCCAGGAGTTCAAGACCAGACTGGGCAACACAGTGAGATCCTATCTGCTACGGTTTGGCTGTGTCCCCACCCAAATCTCATCTTGAATTCCCACGTGTTTTGGGAGGGACCCAGCAGGAGGTAACTGAATCATGGGGCAGGTTTTTCCTGTGCTGTTCTAGTAACAGTGAATAAGTCTCACGAGATCTGATGGTTTTAAAAAGGGGAGTTCCCCTGCAAAAGCTCTCTTCTCTTGTCTGCCGCCATGTGAGACCTGCCTTTCACCTTCTGCCATGATTGTGGGGCCTCCCCAGTCACGTGGAACTGTAAGTCCAGTAAACCTCTTTCTTTCGTAAATTGCCCAGTCTTGGGTACGTCTTTATCAGCAGCATGAAAATGGACTAATACACCGTCTCTACAAAAAAATTAAAAAATTAACCAGGCATGGTGGGGCAGGCCTGCAGTCCCACCTGCTCAGGAGGCTAAAATGGAAGGATCCCTTGAGACCGGTAGGTGGAGTCTGCAGTGAGTTATGACGGCGCCACTGCACTCTATCCTGGGTAACAGAGCGAGACCCCATCTTTAAAAAAAATATTCACTAAGAGTATGAGTGCAAAGATAGGGAAGGAAGCAGAGTGGAGAAAAAAAATTCAGTACTATTTGTCACCATAAGAGATGGTATTAATGCCTTCAAAATTCCTGGAGTCTAGTTTAGAAGTGATATTTAAAGGTCAGCAGGAAACTTGGAAATAATTAGTGATGATTCTATCCTGACATTGAGAACATGCTACAGAAAAACTCTTAATTTGTGGAAGTACTATAACATCTAATGAACTAACAACTAAATATCAGGCCTGGTGTATCAAAATGAGGAATATAAAAAGACAGAAGAATTTCAGGAAAATAAAGTACAACGAGACACTTTATTAAGGGATGTGACAAAAACAAACCTTAACATGGTAACTTTTTTGTAGAAAGGTCATGAGCCCTTTGGAGTTCTGAATGGAAATGCCTAACAAAGTAAGAATTTCTTTTCTCTCTTTTTTTTTTTTTTTTTGGAGACAGGGTCTCGCTCTGTCACCCAGGCTGAAGTGCAGTGGTGCAATCACAACTCACTGCAGGCCTCAACCTCTAGGGCTTAGGTGATCCTCCCACCTCAGCCTCCCGAGTAGCTGAGACTACAGGTCCATGCCACCACACCCGCTAATTTTTGTATTTTTTGTGGAGACAGGGTTTCACCACGTTGCCCAAGCTAGTCTCAAATTCCATAGCTCAAGTAATCCACCGGCCTCAGCATCCCAAATTGGTGGGATTACAGGCATAAGCCACCGTGCCCAGCCTGAGAATTTCTTACAACTGATAAGTAGTGACTAATTTTCTTCCAGGCCCTTTTCTGGAAAAGAGTAGTTTCTAAGAGAATGATATGCCAGTTATTTCATATCTCAATTTTTCTCCCAAGTAATGCCATGCAATTCCATGCCTTGAAAGGAAAAACTGTTACCTGAGCACCACTACAATCGGACTTTCACTTCCAGTTATTACCATTAACCCCTTCCAGATCATTAGTGCCGATGAGACAATCATTCCAAAATTTAGGACTTGATAATAGAGCTGCAAGAACAAAACAGAAGAGATCAGATCCACCATTATCCCCACTTCGGAAAGCAACTGAAAGCAGTAACAATTTGAAAGTTTCAAGCAGTACTATTAGGACAACTACAGTTCTGAGACATTCTTTAATACATTATAATAATTATGCCATCAGCAGATCAAAACAGGCCCCCCTTCTTTCACCCAAAGCACCCTGCTCCATTTTGTTTGGTAAAACATCAGTTACATTTATATAACACCATATTATTTTAAGAACATTTCACACAAGTTATTTCATTTGGGCTCCATAATCATTCAGCTTAAATTTATCACTCATGCTACTTACCAGCCAAGAGTAATCTGTCTCTGCTTCTGAACTCCTCTATTACTTTTTCTTTTTCTTTTTTTTTTTTTTTTTGAGATGGAGCCTCGCTCTTGCTCAGTCACCCAGGCTGGAGTACAGTGGTGCCATCTCAGCTCACTGCAACCTCTGTCTCCTGGGTTCAAGAAATTCTCCTGCCTCAGCCTCCCGAGTCGCTGGGACTACAGGCATGCGTCATCACGCCCAGCTAATTTTTTTGAATTTTTAGTAGAAACTGGGTTTCACCATGTTGATCAGGCTGGTCTCGAACTCTTGACCTCAAATGATCTGCCCACCTCCACCTCCTAAAGGGCTGGGATTACAGGCGTGAGTCACCACACCCGGCCCTCTATTACTTTTCTACTATACTTATCCCTTGATAATCATGGGAATAGTTAATGACATTTAACTCTACCTTCTCATTTTACAGTTAAGGAAACTGTCTCGAAAAGAGGAGACTTCACCAAGTCCTAAGCTTATCAGTCACATAGTCAAGACTTGAAGGTCAGCCTTCTTACTAAATTTCCAGTACTCCAACAAACTCTAAAATTCTGTGACTTGAATAAACAGATAAAACACCAGACGGCATTTCAATTTCAAATAAAGAAAATTCAGAACACGTGGAAAAAGGCAAAAAATATTACAAAATCAGATAAGATAAATAATGTGAGCTAACTGTTTTGGGCCAAGGCTGGAAAAAGTATAGAGAGGATGACTAGACACCATGGCAAATAGTTCAAGGAAAAAGCTGGTACTGGAAAGTACTGGGAGAAATCTGAAAAAGCATATATTAAGGTCCAACTATGAAGAAACTTAAACACAGGACTGAAACTGTGGATCTAACAAAATATTAGTAATATAAAGTGAAAAAACAGAAGTTTCAAAAGGTCTTACTCTGTTGCCCAGGCTGGAGTGCAGTGGCACAATCACAGCTCACTGCAGCCTCCAACTCCTGGGCTCAAGCAATCCTCCCACTTCAGCCTCCCGAGTAGCCAGACGTGGTAATTTTTGTATGTTTTGTAGGGATGAGGTTTCGCCATATTGCCCAGGCTGATCTTGAACTCCTGGGCTCAAGCAATCCGCCTACTTCAGCCTCCCAAAGGGCTGGGATTACAGGTATGAGCCACCATGCCTGGTCACTTTTGTTAATATTTGCTTGTGGACATTCTACACAACTGTCCTAGTCTCTTCAAAAATCCAATGTCATTCAATGTCATGGAAAAAAAGGTGGAAGACTGTTCTAGATTAAAAAGTACTAAAGAGATATAACAACCAAATGTAACGCACAAACTTTGGTTTCTTTGTTGTTTTTTTCTTCTCATTCAGTTCTAATAATGCACAAACTTTGGCTGGATCTTGGTTCAAAAAAAAAAAAGCATAAGAAAAAATCTGAATATTTTGGGGTGAACTGGGGAAACTCAAAATATGATTTGAATATTAAATGACATTAGGAAATTCATGTTTTCTTTTTTTCTCTTCTTTTTTTTTTTTGAGACAGGGTCTTGCTCTATCACACAGGCTGGAGTGCAGTGACATGATCTCAGCTCACTGCAACCTCTACCTCCCAAGTTCAAGTGATTCTCGTGCCATAGCCTCCCAAGTAGCTGGGATTACAATGGGCATGCATCATCACGCCCGGCCAATTTTTGTATTTTTAGTAGAGACGGGGTTTCACCATGCTGGCCAGACTGGTCTCAAACTCCTGGCCTCAAGCAATCCACCCGCCTTGACGTCCCAAAGTGCTGGGATGACAGATGTGAGCCACTGTACCCGGCCTCTAATTTTCTTAAATTATGTGATAATGGTGTTGTGGTTATGTGGAATACTATCCTTATCACAGGAGATGCATATTAGTAGTAGTTAGCTAGTAGTTGTAGTTAGGGGTGAATTCTCATATCTGCAACTCATTTTCAAGTGATTCAGCAAAAGAAAATTCTATATATGCACACACACATAAGTATACATAGAACAAATATGGCCAAAATGCTAATAATTGTTGGATCTGTGTGACAGATTACAGGTGTTCCCTGTACTGTTTTTTCAATTTTTTCTGAAAAATTCCAAAAAATGCATAGAAAATATGGAAGAAGCCAGGTGCAGTGGCTCACATCTGTAATCCCAGCAATTTGGGAGGCTGAGGTGGGTGGATCACTTGAGGCCAGAAGTAGGAGACCAGCCTGGCCAACATGGCGAAACCCCATCTCTACTAAAAACACAAAAATTAGCTGGGTGTGGTGGGACATGCCTGTAATCCCAGCTACTCAAAAGGCTGAAGCACAAGAATCACTTGAACCCAGGAGGCGGGGGTTGCAGTAAGCTGAGATCGCACCACTGCACTCCAGCCTGGGCAACTGAGCAAGACTCTCTCAAAAAAAAAAAGGAAGAAAATAAAATAAATGTTAGTTGTTATATTTGGGGGTGTAATACTAGGCAATTCTTATTTATTTCATTTTGATCATCTACATTTTCTACTTCCCTTTTTAAATCAATTGTTATTTTTAATCAAAACAGTATACACACATACATACAAGAATATGTAAAAAAAAGCAATATCCTAGCCATGGCAGGCCACCTACATCAACCATTTTCATCTCTTCTAGCTATTCATTCTGGTGTTTACCCCAACCACTCTAAAAACTGTTTGTTTACTTTCATACTAGGGTGTTAATGCATGATGTTCAAAATGTACAATGAGGGGCTAGGCACAGAGACTCATGCCTGTAATCCCAACACTTTGGGAGGCTGAGGTGGGAGGATCACTTGAGCCTAGGAGTTCGAGACCAGAAAGCAAGACCTTTATCTCTACAAAAAAAAATACAAAAAAAGGCCGAGTGCAGTGGCTCACGCCTGTAATCCCAGCACTTTGAGAGGCCGAGGCAGGCGGATCACGAGGTCAGGAGTTTAAGACCAGCCTGGCCAACATGGTGAAACCCCATCTCTACTAAAAATACAAAAATTAGCCAGGCGCAGTGGCGTGTGCCTGTAATTCCAGCTACTCGGGAGGCTGAGGCAGGAGAATTGCTTGAACCCGGGAGGTAGAGGTTGCAGTGAGCTGAGATCGCACCATTGCATTCCAGCCTGGGCGACACAGCAAGACTCCATCTAAAAAAAAAAAAAAAAAAAAAAAAAAAAAGAAGGTAGAGGAAAATTTAGCACACTAAATAGAGATGCGGATGATTAAAAAAAAATATCCAGAGGCTGGGCTCGGTGGCTCACGCATGTAATCCCAGCACTTTGGGAGGCCAAGGCGAGCAGATCACCTGAGGTTGGGAGTTCGAGACTAGCCTGCCCAACATGGAGAAACCCCCATGTCTACTAAAAATACAAAATTAGCTGGGCTTGGTGGCACATGCCTGTAATCTCAGATACTCGGGAGGCTGAGGTGGGAGAATCGCTTGAACCTGGGAGGCGGAGGTTGCAGTGGGCCGAGATCGCACCATTGCACTCCAGCCTGGGCAACAAGGGCGAAACTCCGTCTCAAAAAAAAAAAAAGAAAAATTAGCTGGGTGTGGTGGTGCATGCCTGTAGTCCCAGCTCCTTGGAGGCTGAGGCAGGAGAATCACTTGAACCCAGGACGTAAAGGCTGCAGTGAGCTATGATTGCCCCACTGCATTCTAGCCCAGGTGCCAGAGCAAGACTGTGTCTCAAAAAATAAATACAATTGTGATGAGGAATCCAGCTCTCTTGTACCATTTTCTATTTTCTCCCTACAATTAACCTGTTTTTCCTGCATACTTTTTAAAAACATTTCAAGTTTCATATTCTTCACACTTGATCTTAGCCAAAAGGCCGAGAAGCGATCAAGTTTCATATTCTTATAAATGCACAGTTAATCTCTGAAAAGACAGACAAGAAACTGGAGAAAAGGAACCAGGAGTCAAGGTGGAAGAAAAATATTTTCTGATATACATACTTCATGTTTTTACAGTTTTTACTATATGCAAGTATCACCTGTTCAAAACTAAACTGTTTTGGTTTATTTTTTTAAGTCCACGCTAATGGCCAGAACACTATTCTTCTAGCATTCCAATGAAGCACGGTGTACTCAATCAATGTAATTAATCAATTTCCACAAAAGGAAATATGAACATTTTCGCCGAGACAATTAGAAATATTTGCTGTTCTTTCAGTAATAGAGTGATGTGAGCACATGGATAATCTGAAACCTACTTTGACACTCACATTTACAGGTAAGGAAACTGAGGCACAGAGAAGCTAAGCGACATGCTCATGGCTGCTTGTCTACTGGCTGGCAGAGTAGCACTATTAGAACTCTGGCCTCCTAAATTCTATGTTTTCAAGATGGTGGCTTTTTAAAAGACAAAATGGGTCTTCTTATTCTGAAGGCTGAATTGAAGACGTGGAGTGGGACATGATAGAAGTAGGAAAACTAGCTTCTAAGACACAATTATGTCAACCAGAAGATAAACAGTGAGGAATTCAGTTAAGACTCAAATTTCCAACTTTCTGCACTAAAAATATCACCTACAGTACTGGTTAGGACAATAGATTCTGGGCCCTAATTCAGAACCTCTGAGGAAGGGGTTGTAGGATTCTACAATGTATATAGCTCCATAATCCCTTACTCAAAACCCTTGGGGGTCAGATGTGTTCCAGGATTCAGAATGGGTGTGATTTTGAAAAGGTAATACTTGCATGTACCCTATGTTACATATACTCTTAGCAGGGTTTATGGCAATATCCCAATATCAAACACATTAAGATTTTGGCAGCAAAACAAAAATTCACACTGAAGTAAATAAAAACTAAAAACAAAACAAAACAAAAACCCACAGTTCACGTCTATTTTGTTGGGGAAAAAAAATTTCCATTTTCAAAAGGGCTCGGTTATAGAGTTGCAGAAGTTACCTAATTAGACATTTAATAAGATAACTGCTATTTAAAAGAAAAATGCCCACCGGGTGCAATGGCTTATGCCTATAATCCCAGCACTTTGGGAGGTCAAGGTGGGAGGACTGCTTGAGCCCAGGAGTTCGAGTTCAGCCTGGGCAACATAGTGAGATCCCTATCTCTAAAAAAAAAATAACAAAATTTAAAAATTAAGAAAAAAAAAAGTGCCAGCCAAGGCAACATAGCAAGACCCTGTCTCTTAAAAAAAAAAAATTAATTAGCTGAGTGTGGTGGCACACACCTGTAGTCCCAACTACTTAAGAAGCTGAGGTAGGAGGATTGCTTGAGCCCAGGAGGTTGAGGCTGTAGTGAGCTGTGACAGCACCACTGCATTCTAGCATGGGTAACAGTGTGAGATCTTGTCTCAAAAAATAATAATACAATAAAAATGAACAAGTTAAAATATATAATTTCCTATGTTCTTGCAAGAAAGGTCACTATCCCAGCCATAATTATCCTTCTCCTTTTTCTCAGACATATAATACTTTTATTATGGAATTATTATTGTGAAATGTAGCTAATCATCAAGATCATCTTCCTCATTTTTATTAGAGAAAGAGGTTAAAGTTCCTGATTATGTATAACTGGTATGTTCCTTAAAAGGTACCTATTTGTATACTGCTAAGTCAATCTGCAAGCCAAAACCTAGACAGAAGCACACTATTTGCTAAAACAAACATTGTATCTGAGCAAAAGATTGAAAAGTGTCATACTCTTCTCCCTTTCTTTTTACCCTCTCTTTTCCTGCCAACAGTCTTTACTCAAACGTCAAACATATTGCCTCCCTAGCCCCTACTTTCTTTATCACTATGTCTGAATGCTTAGGAATGTATATAATTGGAAAAAAAGTGTTGCCTCTTTCTGTATTGGCAGAAATAAGGTGGCAGCTACCTAACCTCATATCTGACCACATCAAGCTAACTATTAATAAAGACATTGCAACATATGTAGAATAATAACCACAGAATTGAATAGCCTTATTATTTTTTCTAAGAAATGACCAGAACAATATTTCTTCAATGCTCAAGGTGAAACTAGAAAAGAATGATATCAAAGTTCTATATAATATCTCTCAGCAGCTGTGATATAGGGATTTGTGTTTACTATTCTTTTTTTTCTTTTTAGGAAGTATTGTGTAGAGCCTTCCCCCAAACTCCTGTGACTAGAATAAGCCACAAGACAATTTATAATCCACTCTAAGTAATATATAATAAGAAATTAAGAAAAACCTAACACAGAAAATTCAGCAAGATAAAAGTTGATAATAATTTTAAATACTATAATTTAATGGGCTACCATCTAGAAGCTACATCCTGTGTATTTACTGATCACAATGATCAAATACACCATTGTGCTTCCTATTCTTGTAAGAGATATTTGAAGTTCAACATATAAGATATGTTCATAGAAATCAGAAGCAAAAATGTGTCTTAGAGCTACAAAATAGCAGTTGGCCTAAGTCTTAAATTCCATTTATCTTAAGACCTCAAATTAAGGGACTCATTAATCCATAATCACAATTCTCCTGCTTTCTAACTCATGAAAGGAGAAATCAGAAGCTAGATATTACAGAAGGTATACTGATAGCAGCTAGAAGTGAAATTGACGGTGCTGAAAAAATTGAAATATCTTCAAATGGACACTATTATTGTGACCCAATAAAATCAATGCAGGACCTGGAATGAATCTTAAATGATAATTTTTTAAATTCCTAATAGTCTAAATAAGCATACCATCATTAAAACAATTTTCACTTTAAAAATCTGTTAAATCTTTTAAAATCTGACAAGTGAAAACACATTTAACATATACAAACACATGTACAGCAGCTTCCCTCATAATAGCCTCAAACCGGAAATAACTCAAATGCCCATCAACAGATGAATTCAGGCTCACTGGAACATTTTGGATTTTGGATATTTCAGATTTGGGATGTTCAACCGGTAAAATGCAAATAGAAGTATTCCAAAATAAAAAAAAAGTCCAAAATACTTCTGGCCCCAAGCATTTCAGATAACAGATACTCAACCCGTACATAAATCGTAGTATTTCCACAAAATGGAATACTACTCAGGAATACAAAGGAATTAACTATTGACACATGCAACATAGGTGAATTTCCAAAATATGCTGTCCTGGCCAGGAGTGGTGGCTCATGCCTATACTCCCAGCACTTTGCGAGGCCAAGGAGGGCAGATCACTTGAGGCCAGGAGTTTGAGACCAGCCTGGCCAACATGGCGAAACCCCATCTCTACCAAAAATACAAAATTTAGCCAGGCGTGGTGGCACGTGCCTGTGGTCCCAGCTGCTCGGGAGGTTGAGGTGGGAGGATGACTTGAACCTGGGAGGCAGAGGTTGCAGTGAGCTGAGATCACACCACTGCACTCCAGCCTGGGCAACAGAGCAAGACTCTTGTCTCCAAAAAAAAAAAAAAAAAAACCAGGAAACAAAAAAAACAAAATATGCTGTTCTAGCCAAAATGAGTTAAAGAGACCAAATTTACCTTCCTGCCTGAAATAACTAAAACACTGGACAAAATATATGAAACAAGGGTTTTCGGACATTGGCTATATGACTGTGTTCAGGTAGTAAGGACTGTGATTACTTAGAAAGGGGAAACAAAGAAGGTGAGACCTACAACTGCCTCAACTTATAGATCGGAGAATTTCCAGACCACAGGGCAAAGGAGAAATGCAGACAGAGCCTAGCAGTCTCCCTGACTTGAGGATAAAGAACTGGGGAGTTCAGCCAGGCACGGTGGCTCATGCCTGTAATCCCAGCTCTTAGGGAGGCAGAGGCAGGAGGATAGCTTGAGCCCAGGAGTTCAAGACCTGCCTGGGCAATACAGCAAGATCCCCGTTCTCCACGGAAAAAGAAAAAAACAAAGACACACACACACAAAAAAAAGAACTGGGAGTTCAGGGAGGCAAAAGCAATGATCAGTGCATGCATGTGAGGGGACTCCTGAGGATGGAAAAACAACCATCTAAAAGCAGCGGATGGAACAATTCTCACAGCTCTTATGGCGTAAGAATAGTTTGTTTCCACCAGACAGAGTGGAAATCTTCACGGGGCTTTGGATTAGAGTACTCAGAAAGGTATTACTCACTTGTAGTGCAAAATTAGCCACAGACTAAAGGCCGCTCTGGATCCATCTAACAAAGCTTCACAAGAGCTTGAGAAGACCAAACTGTTTCCAACTAACTTGCCTGTAACCCAGAATAAAGCTCAAGAATATTTATGCAAATCCAAACATATCCAGCACCCAAAAAGGTAAAATTCACAAAGTCTGGCAACCAATAAAAAACTACCAGACATGCAAAGAGGCAAGAAAATATGACCTATAATGAGAAAAATCAATAAACAGAAACAGACCCAGAAATGGCAGAAATTATAGGATTAGTAGAAAGGGATATTTGCTGGGCGAGGTGGCTTATGCCTGTAATCCCAGAACTTTAGGAGGCCAAGGCGGGCAGATCACATGGTCAGGAGTTCTAGACTGGCCTGGCCAACATGGTAAAATCCCATCTCTACTAAAAATACAAAAATTAGCCGGGCATGGTGGCGCATGCCTGTAGTCCTAGCTAATCAGGAGGCTGAGGCAGGAGAATTGCTTGAACCCAGGAGGTGGAGGTTGCAGTGAGCCGAGATCACACCACTGCATTCGAGCCTGGGTGACAGAGGAAGACTCTGTCTCAAAAAAAAAAAAAAAAAAAAAAAAAAAAAAAAAAAAAAAAAAAAAAAGGTAGGGGAAAAGTTAGCACATTAAGTAGAGATGTGGATGATAGAAAAAATATCCAGAGGCCAGGCGCGGTGGCTCACACCTGTAATCCCAGCACTTTGGGAAGCCGAGGCAGGCAGATAACCTGAGGTTGGGAATTTGAGACCAGCCTGACCAACATGGAGAAACTCTGTCTCTACTAAAAATACAAAATTAGCCAGGCGTGGTGGCGCATGCCTGTAATCCCAGCTACTAGGGAGGCTGAGGTAGCAGAGTCACTTGAACCCGGAAGGCAGAGGTTGCAGTAAGCCGACATCACGCCATTGCATGTACTCCTACCTGGGCAACAAGAGCGAAACTCCATATCAAAAAAAAAAAAAAAAAAAAAATCCAAGACCTAAATCAAACTTCTAGAGACAAAAAATAACAATGTCTGAAATAAACAGCAGACAGGTGAAAATAACAGCTGACTAGGCACCTCAGAAGAAAAGTTTAGCAAACTTGAAGTCATAACAATAGAAATTATCTCAAATGAAAAAGCAAATAGGAAAAAAAAAAAAAAAAAGACTGAGCCAGGCATGGTGGCATGCACTTATAGTCCCAGCTACTCAGCAAGAGGCTGTAGTGGGAGGATCACTTGAGCCTATGAGTTTGAGACCAGCCTGGGCAACATAGCAAGACTCCATCTCAATAACAATAATAATAATAATTTTTTTTTTGAGATGGAGTTTTGCTCTTGTTGCCTAGGGTGGAGTGCAATGGCATGATCCCAGCTCACTGCAACCTCCACCTCCCGGGTTCAAGCAATTCTCCTGCCTCAGCCTCCCAAGTAGCTGGGATTACAGGCATAATAGATACTTATATTTTATACTTATTGAGATCATGCCACTGCACTCCAGCCTGGGCAACAAAGCAAGACTCCGTTTCAAGAAAAAAAAATGTAAATGATCTAAATACTATACTTAGAAGTTAAATATTGTCCACTTGGATAAATAAAACAACGTTCAATTATATGCTGCCTACAAAAAATGCACTTTAAATATAAAGACACAAATATTGTGAAAGAAAAAAAGAGAAAAACACATATCATGCTTACATTAATCAAAAGAAAATTGAAGAAAAAAAAAGCAAGCTGGAGTGGTTGCATTAATATCATACAAAGTAGATTTTGGCCGGGCACAGTGGCTCACACCTGTAATCCCAGCACATTGGGAGGCCAAGGTGGGCGGATCACAGGTCAAGAGATCGAGACCATCCTGGCCAACATGGTGAAACCCCATCTTCACTAAAAATACACAAATTAGCTGGGTGTGGTGGCGTGCGGCTGTAGTCCCAGCTACTTGGGAGGCTGAGGCAGGAGAATTGCTTGAACCCGGGAGGCGGAGGTGGCAGTGAACCGAGATCGTGCCACTGCACTCCAGCCTGGAGACACAGCGAGAGTCTGTCTCAATAACAATGATAATAATAATAATAATAATAGGGAGGTAAGTTCATCATGAGAATGTAAAAATTCTAAACATTTCTGCAACTAATAACCCGGCTAATTTTTTCAAAAATTTTTGGCTGGGCGCAGTGGCTCACACCTGTAATCCCAGCACTTTGGGAGGCCGAGGTAGGCGGATCACCTGAGATCAGGAGTTTGAGACCAGCCTGGCCAACATGGTGAAACCCCATCTCTACTAAAAATACAAAAATTAGCTGGGCGTGGTGGCGGGCACCCGTAATCCCAGCTACTCGGGAGGCTGAGGCAGGAGAATCACTTGAACCCGGGAGGCTCACTGCAACAGTGAGCCAAGATCGCATGCACCACTGCACTCCAGCCTGGGCAGCAAAAGCGAAACTCCGTCTCAAAAAAAAAAAAAAAAATTTTAGAGATGAGGTCTTGCTATGTTGCCCAGGCTGGTTTCAAACTCCTGGGCTCAACAATCGTCCTGCCTCAGCCTCCTGAGCAGCTGAGATTATAGACACAAGCAACAGTGCCCAGTTTATAAATATATTTATACCAATATATTACACAACTTTACATATTAGACAACTTTGATGAAGTAAGTCAATTCCTTGATACCAACTACCAAAATTCACTCAAGAAGAAATAGACAACCTGAATAGACCTACATATAATTTGAATTTATGGATTTAAAATCTTCCCACAAAGAAAACTCCAGGCTCAGATGGTATTCACTGGCAAATTCCACCAGACATTTAAGGAAAACAATTCTAACAATTCTACACACTAACTCTTCCAGAAAATTGCAGAAAAGTGAATACTCCCCAACTTACTCTATTTATTTAGTAAGCCCATTTTAAGCCAGTTTTAAGTAAGGTTCCGCAACAGGTCCAAGCTTTGAAAGCTGTACTAGTACCTGGGATTACAGTAGTACCCACGTGACTCAGAAGATTTCATGATGACTGGTGTGTCTGTAATGGATAGGGATGCTATATGGAGCCATCAGCAGTCCTTTATAAGTAAATGACAGGCAAGACCTTTGGGATTGGGGACAAAGCTATACTGTCCTTTGGAGAATTATTCTCCTCTTGAGTAACAGCTTTTTGTTTGCTACTGAGTTCTTGTAGAGACTAACAACTTGACCATGGGCCAAGTTACCATGTGACCTGAACTCCCTGACATGCACCGGATGCCTGGACGCTGTCAGATTCACCAAGCCAAAAAATAGGGCATGCACAGCAGTAAGTACTCCATCATTAAGTGTAAGTGGTATACAGAAGACTGGGCTCAAGCATGTCTTGAAGACACAAGTAAATATGAGCAAGTGACTCAGATACCCATGGCTCCTAACGATGCTACCCTGCTTCCTCTCTCATCTTGCATTTACTGCCTCATGAGGAGCTCCCTCTGACAGCTGACTAAGGAACACTTTAGGCCTGATTTGTGATGGTTCAACATAAACCCTCTAGCACTAACTGAAAGCAGACAGCTATAGCATTACAATCTCATGCAGGGTTGATCATGAAGGATTGTGAGGAAGAGAAATCCTCCCAATGGGCAGCTTCAAGCGATACAGCAGTTGTTCATTTTGCCTGGATGGAGAGATGACTACAGATGTAGATTTACATTGATTCAAAAATGACTAGCAGTTTGGCTGGATGGACAGCGACTTGGAGGGGACATCACTGGAAAGTTGAGACAAGAAGTCTGAGGAAGAGATATGTGGATGGAGCACTCCAAATACGTATATAGAATATGAAGATAATTGTGTGCCATATAAGTGCTCATCACAGAATTACCTCAGCAGAAGCTCTTAATAATCAGGTGAACAAAAATGACTTCTTCTGTGGATGTCAGTCAGCCTATTTCCCCAGCCACCTGTCTTACCCAACGGACTCATGACCAAAGTGGCTGCAGCAGCCAAGATAAAGGTTAGCAACATGGACTTCCACTCACCAAGACCTATTAGGTTCTAGCCAACACTGAGTGACTACCCTGCCAACCGCAAAAAACCAACACTGCCACCAATCCTGATGGCACGCTGATCATACTGGATCATTTCAATCATGAAAGGAACAGCAATTTCTTCTTGCTAGAGTAAACTCCGGATATAGATTGGTCTTCCTTGTCCTTAGTATTTCTGTCAAAAAGCACCATCCATGATCTTACAGAATGCCTTATTCCTCATTGTGGTATCCCATACAACATTGCTTCTGACAGGGGGACTTACTTTATAGCAACTAAAACACAGCAGTGGACAAGCAGTCATGGAATTCACTAGTCTTACTATGTCCCTCATCACCTTGAAGTAGCTGGCCTGAAATAATAGAATAGTAGGCCAGTTTTCGATTTATTGTCTCTCAACTCCAAATCCACCCTCCTTCCTTGTGTTACTCAAGCTGAATCCTATAAACACAAATCCTCCGCCAGCTAGCTTAATGTTAGGTTTAATTAATAAAGGGTATTGAAAGACCACTGCAAAGCAACAGAGGGCTTCCCTTCCTGGTTTCAACATGATTTTATTCCACCTGATACCCAGTGGGTCTGTGTGTTGGAAGCCTGATAGTGCTCACCTCAGGGACCATCAAGGTTGACTCCAGCCCACACTCACTCTCTGCCAAATTTCTTAACCTTCCAGTAATTCACGACTATAAACCAGCTCCAGGTCAGTACTCTGGCAAATGGTATTGCCATGATAGGTTGCATGTTCCTGTGGCAGCCAAACCCTCACCAAAAGGTCTGAATCTCAGGCTTGGGAGGGGTTTGGGGTAAGGTGCTTTCTTAGTTCTTTCTTTGTTCACTCTTCCTCATCCTGGAGGATAGTAGCTGTTTTCTGCATATGCTACTTCTGGAGTCTTTTTTTTTTTCTCTTTTTAAAGAGAAAGGGTCTCATTCTGTTGCCCAGGCTGGAGTACAGTAGTATGATCATAGCTCACTGCAGGCTCAAACTTCTGGGCTCAAGTGATTCTCCCACCTCAGCCTACCGAGTAGCTAGGACTACAGGTGAGTACCACCACGCCTGGCTAATACTTTAATTTCTTGTAGAGACGGGGTCTCACTATATTGCCCAGGCTGGTCTTGAACTCCTGGCCTCAAGTGATCCTCCTGTCCAGGCTTCCCAAAGTGCTGGGATTATAGGCCTGAGCCACTGAGCCCAGCCAAGAGTCCTCTTTTATCCCTTTTTAGTAGTTTAGCATCTTTTAGTAGTTAACAGTTACTTATATTAGATTTTCCCTGTTCAATTACTGCTACAGTTACTGTCTTCTGCGTGACAGAAATGGCCTTTTCAGAATGCAGTTATGGCACCAGCTAGGTGGCAACACTTTGTGGGGCTGGGGTAATGTCTAATGTTCTCCAGTATGTTGTATATGATCTGAACTGACAACCAACATTTGGTGCTGTTTTTTCTATAGCTAGGATTCACTAGTCCAGGAATTAAAGGATAGGAATGGGTGTGACTCCTCTCATTATTACCCCTAATGATCTGGTAGCGAAATTTCTGCTTCCAGACCAGGCGCAGTGGCTCACACCTGTAATCCCAGCACTTTGGGAGGCCGAGGCAGGTGGATTACCTGAGGTCATGAGTTCGAGACTAGCCTGGTCAACATGGTGAAACCCCGCCTCTACTAAAAATACAAAAATTAGCCAGGCGTGGTGGTGTGCATCTGTAGTCCCAGCTACTCAGGAGACTGAGGCAGGAGAACCGCTTGAACCCAGGAGGCAGAAGTTGCAGTGAGCCGAGATCGCACCACTGCACTCCAGCCTGGGCAAGAGAGCGAGATTCCATCAAAAAAAAAATTATGCTTCCCATCCTTACAACTTTTAAATCTGCTGATTTAAAGGTTTTATTTATTTATTTATTTTGAGATGGAGTCTTGCTCTTGTCACCCAGGCTGGAGTGCAGTGGCACGATCTCAGCTCACTGCAACCTCTGCTTCCTGGGTTCATGCGATTCTCCTGCCTCTACTGAGTAGCTGGGAATACAGGTGCCCGCCACAATGTCCAAAAATTTTTTTATTTTTAGTGGAGACGGGGTTTCACCTTGTTGGCTAGGCTGGTCTCGAACTCCTGACCTCAGGTGATCCACCTGCCTCAGCCTCCCAAAGTACTAGGATTACAGGCATGAGCCACCATACCTGGCCTGATTTAAAGGTTTTAATTCACAAAGGTTTTAATCCATCCATTAAGGGACATAATGGTTCCATTAAACTGAATGTTAAGACTGCTACTTGGTCACTTCGGGCTCCTCATTCTAGAGAACCAAAATGCAGCAGGGTTATAATTGGCTAGGGTGATTGATCCTGACCATCAGAGAGAAATAGGGTTGCTACTACACCATGAGGGAAGCAAATATAACTGGAATATAGGGGATCTCTGGGGCCCCTCAGTACTCCCATCTAAAAGTCAGTGAAAACTCCAACAACCCAATTCAGGTAGGACTTCTTATGACAACCCTTCAATAAAGAAGGGTAGGTCACCCCATCAGGCAAGAAATTATGACCAATTTAGGTTCTTGCTGAGAGCAGAGAAAGAAAACAGCTATGATCATGTGACCAATTACAGAAACAAAGGATAGTTATAACAGAAACGTAACTTTTGTTTTATCTTTATTCGAAAGCTAACATGATAAAAACAGGTGTGTATAGATGCCAAGTTGACAAAGGGTAGAATCTAACAGTTTTGTACTTTATCAACTTGGTTAAGCTAGAAGTAGGTTTCCCCAAATGCCCTTCCCTGTATGGTTCTGGGTTAGAGTTAGCCAAAAAGAAATCTGCCCAAGATTTGGAAGGTGAAAGTGCAGTAGCTGCAATTACGCAGAAGGTCACTGTAGTTAGAGATGGTAAGACAGACACTGACAGGCTAGCAGAATTCAGCTCTTCTGGCTGACTCAGAGACTAGACAGACAGTCAGTGGCCTCCCGCGGATCCTTCCATCTGCTCTCCTTTGCAGTCTCACTCCAGCAGCTGGATGTGGAATCCTGTCCCACACTCCATGGCAAGCTTAGATCTGTCCACCCAAACCAGTGCTTCAGAAGAGCTGCTTAGTGACATTCCTCTGGGTCTCTAACCCACTTTTAGACTCTTACTTATCCAGCTTCTCCTACAATTGTGTGAGACTTTTTTTTTTTTTTTTTTTTTTTGAGATGGAGTCTTGCTCTGTCGCCAGCCTGGAGTGCAGTGGCGCAATCTCGGCTCACTGTGACCTCTGCCTCCCAGGTTCAAGCAATTCTCCTGCCTCAGCCTCCCGAGTAGCTGGGACTACAGGCATGCGCCACCAGGCTCAGCTAATTTTTGTATTTTTAGTAGAGAAAGGGTTTCACCATGTTGGCCAGGATGGTCTCGATCTCTTGGCCTCATGATCCACCCACCTCGGCCTCCCAAAGTGCTGGGATTATAGGCGTGAACCACCGTGCCCGGCTGAGGTTTTATTACTATAATAAATCCATTATTCAATAATATTCATAGTAGTTCTTCTTCCCAGACTAAACCCTGGCTGATAAACCATGTTTTTTGGACAAAATTTTCCAGTTAAGGAGTAGACACCTTAAGTGTTTGGATTCTACAGCTCACTTTCTTCCTTGAGCAGAAAAGATAACCCTTCTGAAGAAGAGTTAAAACCACAGTTTCTCCTAAGGGGAGCTCATCTTTACTGTTATAGGCTTGTGCCATCTGGCTGTGGAAAAGAATAATCATCCTTGTCTTTACGTCATTTGTGGAGAGAATGTTATAAAAAAAATAACAGATGTAAAATATCAAGGAATGGTAGCAAGAAAATATCTTTGTTACTATGGTACTATATTCTGGATTTTGCTCAGTTACATGGAATAAAGAATAATTTCTGGCTGTTCAAAAGAATATACCAGCCGGGCATAGTGGCTCACATCTGTAATCCCAGCACTTTGGGAGGCCAAGGCTGGTGAATCACTTGAGGTCAGGAGTTCAAGACCAGCCTGGCCAACATGGTGAAACCCCGTCTTTACTAAAAAAATACAAAAAATTAGCCAGGCGTGGTGGCACACGCCTGTAATCCCAGTTAATCAGGAGACTGAGGCAAGATAATTGCTTGAACCCAGGAGGCAGAGGTTGCAGTGAGATGGCACCACTGCACTTCAGCCTGGGTGACAGAGTGAGGCTCTGTCTCAAAAAAAAAAAAAAAAAAAAAAAAAAGAATATACCTGTTGATGTTAATTGCAGTTTACAATAAAATTTTACTTGTGATGTTCTTGTGTATGTAATGGGGACTGATATCAATATTTCTACATTGAAACTTGGCAATTCATTAATAAATGTTGATACCCTGCCAGTAATAAAGATTTTCCTGAACCTAAATAAGACCAGATTACTTTTCCATAATCAAAAAAAGTAGTGGCTTTATCCTCTGTGTTGGATACACCTCCTATTTGCTTCACATTTATTCCTATTAGGTCTATATCTAAGAAAAATTTCCTAGGTTTCTGTATGTTTCACTAGAGCGACAACTCGTTTAAAAAAAAAAGTATCAAAGATACCTAGGCAACAGGGCGAAATCTCAACTCTACAAAAAATACAAAAATTAACCAGGTATGAAATGGAGTCTCACTATGGTACCTGGTGTACACCTGTAGTCCCAGCTACTTGGGAGGCTGAGGTGGGGGGATAGCTTGGACCCAGGAGGTTGAGACTGCAGTGAGCTGTAATCGCATCACTGGACTCCAGCCTAGGTGACAGAGCGAGACCTTATCTCAGGAAAAAAAAAATGAAAAGAAAAGAAAAAGCTATCTAGAAATCGTTAAGATATCACTGCAATAACAGTTAAGAGTTGGGTGATACTAAGAGATAGGAAGATATAAAAAGAATGAAGGATCCTATTAAGTCTCAAGGACTTTACATTTAGGCAGGAAGGCATACAGATAATTAAAACCCAGAGAAATGCAAATTCAATCAAGCAATATAAGTGGCCTGCGGGGAGCTAAGCACACATTTATGGGAGTCTGCTTAGTCCCTTCAGGGCTCAGACAGGGATCTAGTCACATCCTGGCCAATAAAAAAAATCTCAGCAAGCAGAGAAGTCAATTCTAAAAATTACATGTGACATACATGTAACATAAAAATAATTTGGCATAACATACTTATTTTATTAGTGAGTAAATATCTTTTTTTTTTGTTTTAAGAGATGGGGCCTCACTATGTTGACCAGGCTAGACTTGAACTCCTTGGGCTCAAGCAATCATCCTGCCTCAGCCTCCCTGAGCAGCTGGTACTACAGGTGCACCACCGCACCTAGCTATCATTTTTATCCCCAGAATGATTTATAATTAAAAATAGAATGTTTAAGGGAAAGCGTGCATAGTGTTAATATTCTTATGTTAAGAACTCTGTTTGTATTTGTTTTTGTTTTTGGTATTGTTTTGTTTTTTGAGATGGAGTCTCGCTCTGTCACCCAGACTGGAGTGCAGTGGTGTGATCTTGGCTCACTACGACCACCGTCTCCTGGGTTCAAGCGATTCTTCTGCCTCAGCCTCCCAAGTAGCTGGGATTACAGGTGCACACCACCACACCCCACTAATTTTTTTATTTTTAGTAGAGACGGGGCTTCACTACGTTGGCCAGGCTGGTTTCGAACTCCTGACCTCAAGTGATCTGCCGGCCTCAGCCTCCCAAAGTGCTGGGATTACAAGCGTGAGCCACTGCACCTGGCCTCTTCTGTTCATTTTTTTGAGACAGGGTCTCACACTGTCACCCAGGCTGGAGTGCAGTGGCACAATCTTGATTCACTGCAACCTCCGCCTTCCAGGTTCAAGTGATTCTTGTGCCTCAGCCACCTGAGTAGCTGGGATTACAGGCGTGTGCCACCACACCTGGCTAATTTTTGTATTTTTAGTAGAAATGGGGTTTCGCTATGTTGCCCAGACTGGTCTCAAACTCCTGGGCTCAAGCGATTCATCCATCTCGGCCTCCACCATTACAGGCGTGAGCCACTGCACCCAGCTATATTTGGTATTTTAACTTTTGTAAAATTTAAGAGAATTTGGCCTAGTGAAGTAATAAGTCAGCCTTAAAAATTCAGTTTAAAATGTGTAATCAGTTGTTTTAGATTATGTGAATCAGAAAGTTTCCTATTTATATACAGTGCTGAAACATTTTAAGAGAACTTAAGAAGTCTCAGATCTATAAAAATTATATAAGTAGTCCATGTTTGTTGAATAATCAAAGTTCTTTAAAATATTTTTTTAATTTATAAAGTTTAATTATTTTAAGATGTTTAACTTTGAAATTAAACCAAACATAGGCTCTTAAAGGTGATTGTTGGCTGAGTGCAGTGGCTCACACCTGTAATCCCAACACTTTGGGAGGCCAAGGCAGGCGGATCACTTGAGGTCAGGAGTTCGAGACCAGCCTGGTCAACATGGTGAAACCTCGTCTCTACTAAAAAAAATACAAAAATTAGCCGGGAGTGGTGGTGCACGCCTATAATCCCAGCTACTCTGGAGGCTGTGGCAGGGGAATTGTGTGAACCTAGGAGGCAGAGGTTGCAGTTGAGCCTAGATGGTGCCACCACACTCCAGCCTGGGCGACAGAGCAAGATTCTGTCTCAAATAAAAAAGTGATTGTTAAAATTTGCTACACTTTAAATAGGATAAGATTTGTAAACAAATTCTACAAGTTTAAGAAAGAATTTAGTTTTAAAATTTTAGGTTTTATAATTATTAGAACTAAAGATAACTCTAAATAGGTTTTTCTGCACACAAAAACCACCTCAATGTGCATTGAAAAACACACATATCTTTGGGAGGCCGAGGTGGGCAGATCACGAGGTCAGGAGATCAAGACCATCCTGGCTAACACAGTGAAACCCCGTCTCTACTAAAAATACAAAAAATTAGCGTGTGATCACACGCACCTATAGTCCCAGCTACTTGGGAAGCTGAGGCAGGAGAATCGCTTGAACCCGGGGGGCGGAGGTTCTAGTGAGCCGAGGTCGAGCCATTGCACTCTAGCCTGCAAAACAGAGCAAGACTCCATCTCAAAAAAAAAAAAAAATGCTCATATTAAGGCTGGGCGCAGTGACTCACACCTATATTCAATCCCAGCTCTTTGGGAGGCTGAGGTGGGCAGATGGCTGAGCTCAGGGGTTCACAACCAGCCTGGGCAACCTGGTGAAACCCAGACTCTACAAAAAACACAAAAATTAGCCAGGTGTGGTGTCACTGGCCCGTAGTCCCAGCTACTCCAGAGGCTGAGGTGGGAGAATCACTTGATCCCGGAAGGAGGAGGTTGCAGGGAGCCAAGATCCTGCCGCTGTACTCCAGCCTGGTCAACAGAGTGAGACCCTGTCTCAAAACAAACAAACAAACAAAAATTAAAAAAAAAAACAAACCTCTCATACTAATCAGTGGTGTGCTGGAACAAGCTTCCTAAATTTTCAGCAATTCTGCAAGCTGGTTGTTAAACACAGTGCTGTTAAAAAACTAGAATAATAAATTATATTAAAGGCCAGGCACAGTGGCTCATGCCTGTAACCCCAGCACTTTAGCAGCCTGAGGCGATCAGATCACTTGAGGTCAGGAGTTCAAGACAAGCCTGGCCAACATGGTGAAACCCCCATCTCTACTAAAAATACAAAAATTAGCCAGACGTGGTGGCGCACACCTGTAATCCCAGCTACTTGGTTGCGGTGAGCCGAGATCACGTCACTGCATTCCAGCCTGGGTGACAGAATAGAGCGAGACTCTATCTCAAAAAAAAAAAAAAAAAAAAGAAGCCGTACTCCAAACAAAGGTAAGAATACAAATAAAATAGTATATGACTATTAGCTAAAAGGACCTTAAAGATCACCTAATATTCTAGGGTGGTACCCAGAGACTAAGAAAGAATACAAGCAGCACTGTTAAAAATCAATTAATTTAAACAACTTGGCTGGGTGTGGTGGCTCACATCTGTAATTCCAGCAGTTTGAGGATCCGAGGTGGGAGGATCACTCGAGCCCAGGAATTTGAGACCAGCTTGGGCAGAATAGCGAGACTCCATCTCTACAAAAAATACAAAAATTAGCCAGGCATGGTGGCACACATCCATAGTCCCAACTACTCAGGAGGCTAAGGTGGGAGGATTGCCTGAGCCCCAGGAGTTCAAGGCTGCAGTAAGCTGTGATTATGCTACTGCACTCCAGCCTGGGCAACAGAGAGAGACCTTGTCTTAAAAAAAAAAAAATTCTAAGAAACCCAACATACCTCTACCTCTATTACAAAGCCCAGAATCCAGTACACTGACAACATGAAATACTGGGGAGGATGTGGAGCAACAGGAACTCTCATTCATTGCTGGTGAAAGGCAAAACAGTACAGCCATTCTGAAAGTGTTTTATGGTTTCTTACAAAACTGAAACATACTCTTTTCTTTTTTTTCTTTTTTTTTTTTTTTTGAGATAGAGCCTTGCTCTGTCGCCCAGGCTGGAGTGCAGTGGTGCGATCTGGGCTCACTGCAACCTCTGCCTCCCAGGTTGAAGCAATTCTCCTGCCTCAGCCTCCTGAGTAGCTGGGATTACAGGTGCGCACCACCATGCTCGGCTAATTTTTGTATTTTTAGTAGAGACAGGGTTTCACCATGTTGGCCAGGCTGGTCTTGAACTCCTGAGCTCAGGCAATCCACCTGCTCGGCCTCCCAAAGTGCTGGATTACAGGCATGAGCCACTGCGTCCAGCCTAAAAACTGATTAAAACTCCAAAGAATACATACTCTATGATTCCATTTATATAAAATGCATACCCCTCTATACTGACAAAAAGCACATTAGAGGTGGGACAGAACGGGTCTTGTAGGTGATATATACGTTCTATATCTTGATTGTGATCAGTATACGTAAGTATAAAAACTTATCGGCCGGCCGGGAGCAGTGGCTCACGCCTGTAATCCTAGCATTTTGGAAGGCCGAGGCAGGCGGATCACAAGGTCAGGAGATCAAGACCATGGTGAAACCCTGTCTCTACTAAAAATACAAAAAATTAGCCGGGTGTGGTGGCGGGTGCCTGTAGTCCCAGCTACTTGGGAGGCTGAGGCAGGAGAATGGCGTGAACCTGGGAGGTGGAGCTTGCAGTGAGTCAAGATTGCACTACTGCACTCCAGCCTGGGCAACAGAGTGAGACTCCGTCTCAAAAAAAAAAAAAAAACACTTATCAAATGGTACACTTTAAATGGATGGAGTTCATTTACTAAAGTATTCCTCTGTGGATCTGATAAGAAAAAAAAAACAAAAACTCAAAGCAATCAGACATTTAACATATATGTAATATGTAATTAGGTATAAGCAGAGAAGTTATGCAAATAATAGCAACTTTTAGAGGAATAAAACAAAATTCTAGTTTCCCTCTTTCGTCTGATTCTCAGTATCTACATGTATTGTCAATTCTTCCTCCTAGATATTATGTACAGATAAAGATCTCATTTCATAACTCTCCCTCACCCCATGTTATCCAATCCCTCCTATCCATTCCTAACAACCTCTGGGAGGCCAGGGAGGATAATTTTACCATTTAAACTTCCACTAACCCTGAATGTCCTAGATGCAATGAATTCTGAACCACAATCACTCCATATTAGAGAAACACAGGGCAGAGTAGCCTATTCATTGTATCTTCATGTTTCTGTTCTTTCTTCCTGTCCATTTTATTAGAGCAGGAAGAGTACCTTATATATCTCTATGCTTTAGAGCCTATCTAGCAGGTTTGCAAGTGCTGAGTGAATTCCTTCCCTTTTGATTATTGGAATGCTAACCAACCCAGGTTAAAGATGAAGCTATTAAGGTCTTTCAAGATCCAACTTAAATGCTAGTTTCTCCTTGAAGCTGTTCGTAATGCCCTGACTGGAACCTCTCAAAATTTTCCTACCACTGCTAGAACAGGTCATATCCTTCTTTATCCAAGTGTTCAGGCTTTAAAGTAAGACCTGAGATCAAATCCACATCCTGCCATATACCTTCTTTTTTTTTTTTTTTTTTTTTTGAGACGGAGTCTCACTCTGTCACCAGGCTGGAGTGCGGTGGCACGATCTCAGCTCACTGCAATCTCCACCTCCCAGGCGATTCCCCTGCCTCAGCCTCCTGAGTAGCTGGAACTACAGGCGTGCGCCAACAGGCCCAGCTAGTATCTGTATTTTTAGTAGAGAGGGGGTTTCACCATGTTGGCCAGGATGGTCTCAATCTCTTGACATTGTGATCCGCCTGCCTCAGCCTCCCAAAGTGCTGGGATTACAGGCGTGAGCCACCGCACCCAGTCTACCTTCTGTCTTAAGCAAATCACTAAAGCTCTCTAACAATGACATCGACCACAGTACAGCCAATACTCACCATGTGCCAGACACTCTTCTGAGGGCTTTATATGAATTAACTCATTTAATCTTCATAGCGACCCTACGTTTGCACAACATAGTGAATGCAACTAATGTCAGTGAAGTATACACGTAAAAACGGTTGAAATGGAATATTTTATGTTGCATATCTTTTTACAACAATAAAAGTAAACATAGGCACAGACAGGTTAAGTAATCTGCTCAAAGTCACACAGCCAGTAAGTAGCAGAGCTACTTCAAACCTCTGAAATCTAGCTTTAGAGTCCATATTCTTAACTTCTATACTGTATTGCTTCTCACAAAGTCTCATTTTCTTCATGTTTAATAAGAACAACGTTACCTACCTTACAGGTGTATAAAGTGCTTCACACATGGCAAGAGCTCAAAAAAGTTATTGTTTTGCCTTAGTCCTTTTCTACACATTTAGGCTCCTTGAAGGCCGAGTCTTTCTTAACTATCTTTGCATTTCTCTCATTGTACCTAGCATAGAGTACAATAAATATCAGACTCAAAATAAATACTTTCCTCAGAGAAATATCTGTGGCATCTAGAAATCCAAATATGGATTAAAAAAAGACAACACTATACAAGTAAAAATTTGAAGTGTTGTCATAAAGACATAAAGTAACGTTTGCGCAATTTTTATAGAATGCTCAATTCTGACTGACAGAATTGACACTGAGCTAGCTAAGGCCTGAAGGGGAGTAAGGAAAGGTTGTGTATCTACTTCCCTAAGTGGCAGTTATAAGTACAAAAAATGCAAGTCCAAGGAAAAAAAATCCTTAATGGTGACATCAGGATAATCATAACAGTAAAATACTGTTTAAAACAAAAAAAAAGTCCGATGCAGCAAAACTAGGCTCTACAGACACACTAGGCGCAAAAGATAAAACAGAACAACCTTTTCTAAGGACTAAATAATTACAACAATATTCTCAGTACTATTTGGCATACGATCTAGAAGATCAAAGTAAAGTGTAAGGACAAAATCAGGAGACCTACATTTCCAGATCCCCGTGGCACTGATATTGGACTGTAAAACCATAGATTCCGAGGGCTGCCGCCTTAGTGCTAAGCGGACGCAAGGGCAAGTAGTGTAACTGTTCCAACTCGGAGCCCAGAGTGGTCCAAGTCAAAGTCGGTGCAGCCCGCTACGGTTCAGCTCTACTAAAGGGTTGCAAGGAGCTGAAAGCAGCAAAACGGTTTTTGTGGGGCCTCCAATCGCCTTCCTGAGCGCCCCAGAAACCGGCTAAACCTCGTCTCTCCCGAAACCACCTGGAGTCGCTCCGACTGGAGAAATCAAGAGTCCGCCGCCTTAAAATGACTAAAACAATAAGCAACCCCAACTCCCACTTCAAGCGCGTACGGTTTCCATTTGCTCCCCTGCCTCAGTGGGAGGAATGGAACGTGAAGACACCGCTTCCCGCCCCGCCCCCGGTAGGCCCTGAATCAGTTCGGGGTTAAAAATAATGAGGCGGACAAGGCGGCCTCTGGCCACAGTCTCCAAAGAAAGCGAATGACCCGGGTATCAGACCAGCTCAGACCCTCACACCAGAACCCTGGGGTCCGCCGGGCCCCGCAGCAGCAGCCTCGAAGGGACAAGAAGAGCCAGGAGAAAAAGAGGACGGACAAGCTCACCTGCCGCTTGTTCATCCGCCGCACATCGTCCAAAAAGTCTAGAGACAGCATGGCGGGGACGGCGAGCAGGACACCGGCAGGGGAAAGGGCGCGATGACCAGCGGGCGGAACTACTGGAGCTCGGGTCGGGCTCACACTGGACAGGACCCCGCAGTGCTTGCACTTCCGCTTCCGGGGCGGGAGCTGGCACGGTCGGGCACGGTCCCCGCCCCCCGCGCCCCTTCGCTGCGGAGAGCTGACAGAGAGACTCACGACCTTGCTAGTCCAGTCTCAGGGCTTGGCCTCGCCGTGGGAGGGTTCTCACGCTCTGGCTCTCGCCTGCCAAAAACCGACTGGACGCCACTTCCCGCGCTCGGCCCCGCGGCCCTTCACCGAGGCGGCGACCCAGGCTTAGTTGGGGAGGCTGCTCTGCCACCTTCGGAAGGCGGGCCTCTGTGCCCGCCCGGCCAATCGCGAGCAACCTCTCCGGTGTGGGCGGGTAGAAGCGGTTCCGCGTCCCGGCTTGGGTATGGGTGTGGCAGTGGATGTGTCGTCTGACCGTAGGTTCTCTGGTCGAGCAAGTCTCCTGCGCTATGGGAAGCTGAGGAGGTGCTTTCTTTCTTTCTGTCTCTGTCTCTCTTTCTTTACGTCTCTGTCTCTGTTGAGGTGCTTGCTTGCTTGCTTGCTTACTTTCTGTCTGTCTGTCTCTTTCTCTTTTTCTTTCTCTTTCTCTCTTTCCTTTCTTTCTCACTGTGTCGCCCAGGCTGGAGTGCAGTGGCGCAATCTCAGCTCACTGCAACCTCCGCCTCGCGGGTTCAGGCGATTCTCCTGCCTCAGGCTCCCAAGTAGCTGGGACTACAGGCGCGCGCCACCAAACCTGGCTAATTTTTGTATTTTTAGTAGAGACAGGGTTTCACTATGTTGGCCAGGCTGGTCTCGAACTCTTGAGCTCAGGTGATCCGCCCGCCTTGGCGTCCCAAAGTGCTGGGATTACAGTCGTGAGCCACCGCGCCCGGCCATCGAGGTGCTTTCAATAAGTGCTTTTCGCGTAAGGTTGGACCGTGTGAGAGACCTTCCGAGCACTGCCTGAGCCTGCCAGGAGTTTACAGTCCAATTGGAGAGAAAACAGCCCGGGAGAATTAGAAAACATCCAAATGGTGCAACAGCGTGATGAGACCACCAGTGGTGTGGGTCGTTAGGAAGTGGCTTCCTTTCTGACCTTGACTTTGCTGACAGGATTTGACATGGTCTCCTTGAATTCTACCTCCTGGTTTTCTTAACTTGGACACCTTGAAGTGACTATCTTTTCGCTACCTTTTGCTTTGACTGGCCAAAGCTCCTAATACGCACTTCAGTCAACAAAGACTAAAGCTGGATTACTTGGTATCATTTCTCTCTCTTTTTTTTTTTTTTTTTTTTTTTTCAAAATAATCCTTCTCTCCCATTAGGGAAAGATGAATGAAGGATATACTGGAACTCTTTGTAGTATCCTCGAAATTCTTTAAATGGAAAGTCATTCCAAAATAAAAACTTGAATTTATTGGAGGATGGCTGTAATAAAAAAGACAAATAATAATAAGTTTAGGGGAAGATGTGAAGAAATTGGAACCCTCATATACTGCTGGTGGGAATGTAAAATGGTGCAGCCACTTTGGGAAATAGCTGCAGTTGCTCAAAAGGTTAAAGATGTGCCGTCTGCAGTGGCTCATGCCTGTAATCCCAGCACTTTGGGAGGCTGAGGCAGGCAGATCACCTGAGGTCAGGAGTTCCAGACTAGCCTGGCCAACATGGTGAAAACCCGTCTTTACTAAAGATACAAAAATTAGGCGGGTGTGGTGGTGGGCACCTGTAATCTCAGCTACTGGGGAGGCTGAGGCAGGAGAATCGCTTGAACCCAGGAGGCAGAGTTTGCGGTGAGCCGAGATCGTGCCACTGCACTCCAACCTGGGCGACAAAGTGAGACCCTATCTCAAAACACACAAACAAAAAAAGGTTAAAGATGGAATCACCATATTAACCAGCAATTCCACTGCTAGGTATATACCCAAGAAAATTGAAAACGTTTGTCCACACAAAAACTTGTACATGAATGTTCACAGCAGCATTATTCATAATAGCTAAAAAGTGGAAATAACTGAAATGTTTATCAACTAATGAAGGGATAAATAAATGTGGTATATTGGAATAATGTACTAATAATTCCGCTGGTACAATGGAATATTAATCTGGCAACAAAAGGAAATACTACAACATGAATGACCCTTGAAACAGATTTAGTGAAAGGATCCAGTCACAAAAGACAAAGCATTGCATGATTCCATTTAGGTGAAATATCTAGAATAGACAAATCCACAGAGATGGAAATCAGTGGTTGCCTAGGGCTGGGAGAGTTGGGGAAAATGGGGAGTGGCTGCTAATGGGTATGGAGTTTCTTTTAGGGGATGCTAGTTCTACAACTATGTGAATATACTCAAAACCATTAAATTGTACACTTTACACTGGTGAATTGTATGGTATGTGTATTATATCACAATAAAGCTATTATGAGAAAGAAAAAGAAACCACTGGTGTCTGGCTCACTGTTAAATTCCTAGTGGTGAACACATAGCCTAGCACATGTTATACCCAATAAATACTTGTTGAATTTAAAAGTGTGTGTGTGTGTGTGTGTGTATTTTTGTCACCTCCAAAAACTGCTGCCTCTAGGCACCCCACACTTATTGAGTTGAAAAAAAATTCCTAATTTATCCAATTTAGGAAGACTTGTGGAAGAAAATACATGTGAACTCCATGAGGACAGGGACATTGTCTTGTCCACCCCTTTATCTCCAGCTTCCATAAGAGTACCAGACATGTAGCAGACACTCAATAAGTATTTGTTAATAAATGTTAAATATGGGTTCTAGTCTAAATTCTCGCTAGTAGAACCCTTGGCCTATGCCTATTAATGTTGAATTCAAATCTAAAAGTGAGCGCCAGCAACTATTTAAATGAGTATCAATCTTGTAATGTGTAGAAAAGAGCCCTAAGAGAGGCGTAAAGTCCTGTGGAGTTTCAGATGTGGCAAAAGTCAGTTCAGTTGGGGAGGCTTGTGGGGAGCTTAAAAAGGGTGTCAGGCCAGGCACGGTGGCTCACGCCTGTAATCCCAGCACTTTGAGAAGCCAAGGGGGAAAGATCCCTTTGGCCCAGGAGTTCAAGACCAGCCTGGACAACAAAGTGAGACCTCTGCTCTACTAAAACTAAAAATTAGGCCAGGCACGGTGGCTCATGTCTGTAATCCCAGCACTTTGGGAGGCCGAGGCAGATGGATCACCTGAGGTCGAGTTTGAGACCAGCCTGGCCAACATGGTGAAACCCCGTCTCTACTAAAAATACAAAACTTAGCCAGGCATGGTGGCAGGTGCCTGTAGTCCCAGCTACTCGGAGGCTGAGGCAGGAAAATCGCTTGATCCCGGGGGGCAGAGGTTGCAGTGAGCCAAGATCACACCATTGCATTCCAGCCTGAGCAATGGAGTGAGACTCTGTCTTAAAAAAAAAAAGAATGCATGAGAAAGGAACGGGACCAGGGGAGAGTGATATAAACTAGGAGGATCTGCAAAGGCTTAATGAGGTTTCTTATACTGCTCGGTGTCTCTTATGAAAATAATTCAGATATTTAGGACAGGTGATCCCAGACTTGATATAAAGCCTAAGGAATTCAATTTTCCAAATGTGGGACTCTGACATGCTATTTTCTCTGCCGACTGGGATGGCAATCTTTCTGACACATAAGTCTTTTGGGCCCTGTCAATCACAGTGTTATGTCTGGCATTTTCCTTTACAGAGAGCCTGCTGGCCCCCCTGAAGGAAGCATCTTAGTATAGAAGTTAAGTTAGACCCACTTGGCTTTGAATCACAGATCAATTGCCAGCTGTTTGATCTTGGACCAATTAGTTAACTCTTTTTCCAAAAAAATTTATTTAATTTAATGTTTCTACAGACAGAGTCTCACTCTGTCACCCAGGCTGGAGTGCAGTGATGTGATCACCCTTCACTGAAGCCTAGACCACTGAAGCCTAGATTGCTCAAGCAATCCTCCCACTCAGCCTCCCAAGTAGCTGGGACTGCAGGCGCATGCCACCATGCCCAACTCAGTTAGCAATTTTTTAATCCCTAGTTTTCTGGTGTGTAAAGTAGGAATAGAAAAGAATTTATGTCATTTGAGGATTTAACAAAATAGTACATGTAAATAAGGCTGTTGGGGGCTGGGCATGGTGGCTGACGCCTGTAATCCCAATACTTTGAGAGGCCAAGGTGGGCAGATTACTCGAGCCCAGGAGTTCGAGACCAACCTGGGCAACATAGTGGAAGCCTCATCTCTACAGAAAATTTTAAAAATTAGCCAGGTGTGGGGACACATGCCTGTAGTTCCAGCTACTCGGGAGGCTGAGTCAGGAGGATCGATTGAGTCCTGAAAGTTGATCCCTTAGTGAGCCATAATTGTGCTACTGCACTCCAGTCTTGGCGACAAAGAGAGACTCTATCTCAAAAAATAAATAAAATAAATAAATAAATAAATAAAGCTGTTGTCACAATGGATGACAAATGGTAAGTGGACAAAGAATTTAATAATTATTCAAAACAAGAAGTGGGTTCAAACTGATACACAAATTCTAGGCTAGGAAGGTCTGTCATTATGGTTGAGCCCTGGTTAACCACTTCTGTACAAATCAAGGGTCTCTACCAGCAGAAGCAAAGTAGACGTCATGTGGGTTTTTTTGTTGTTGTTATTGTTGCCCAGGCTGGAGTGGAGTGCAATGGTGTAATCTCGGCTCACCGCAACTTCTGCCTCCTGGGCTCAAGTGATTCTCCTGCCTCAGCCTCCCAAGTAGCTGGAATTACAGGCATGCGCAACCACGCCTGGCTATTTATTTATTTATTTATTTATTTTTTATTTTTAGTAGAGACAGGGTTTCGGCATGTTAGTCAGGCTGGTCTCGAACTCCCAACATCAGGTGATCTGCCCCCCTCGGCCTCCCAAAGTGCTGGAATTACAAGCATGAGCCACCGCACCCGGCCTGACTTCATGTTTTTAAAACTCTATTAAAAATAATTATAATCTTACCAGTTTCTCCTTCACCTTCTCAATGTAGGAAGTGGTGGGTAGAAGCAGAAGGTCCTCTATGACCCTGCCAGAAAAGGAAGTGGCCCAGGCATATCACAGCAAGCTGGTGCATAGGCCACACTGGAGATGTGGCTCTTCCCTGGTGCCATCTCCCACAAGGATCTATCTCAGTTTGCTGGGGGCTGCCTGAGGTCAGGTCAGGTGGATGCAGAGATGGGAACTTTCTGCCTACCAACCCAGTGGCTATGGACATCAGAGACCAAGGTTTTAAAAGATGTAGCAGCTCTGTATAGGATGGGATGACAGAAATGTCATTCTCAAAAATCAAAGGCACCTTCTGTGCAGAGAGATTACTGGAGTCACCCAAGTCTCCCTGGAAGATTTTTGGAAAGCTCTCTTTAAAAAGTCCCAGACAGCTGCAGGGACAGCTGTAAGAGGGAAGCACCAGCCTTCTGGGTTGGTATGTGCGTATATGTGATGGGGGTTGGGGAGGACCCATCAATTTCCTGCTTGGCTATACTGCTTTAGCTGAAGAAGAAAGGGGCCTTGATGTTTGTTTTGTGAGTCCTTAGAGAGGAGAGATCCCTGTTGTGAATGTGGATGTCGTGTGGGTAGAGGATCAAGAGTGGGGACACCCTTAGCCTCTTCCCTCTAACTGGGCCTGCACCTCCTCCCTCTTGGAAAAGTTGCCTTTTGAGCTCTTGGATCTCATAGTTAATGACAGGGAATTGGCTCTTGATATCCCTCTTGATAGGTTAAGGGATCCTATAGGAATCTGTTGAGGCAGTTAATCACCACTGGAAATGTGGCTTGTGTAAATCTGGATATGGATATCCAGAATACAATCACATTCATTAGCAATCATTTATATATACATTCAAGTACTTTAAAATATTTACCTAAAGTCTCCTAAGAGCCTCTCTTCAAGGTACTCACGCTGAATCTGTGTGATTTGGCTACTGCCTCCTCTCCTTTTCTTTTAGTCACCCAGGCTGGAGGGCAGTGGCATGATCTCAGCTCACTGCAACCTCCCCCTCCCAGGTTCAAGCGATTCTTGTGCCTCAGCCTCCCGAGTGGCTGGGATTACAGATGTGCACCACCATACCTAGCTAATTTTTGTATTTTTAGTAGAGATAGGGTTTCACCATGTTGGTAAGGCTGGTCTCAAACCCCTGACCTCAGGTGATCCACCTGTCTTGGCCTCTCAGAGTGCTGGGGATTACAGGCGTGAGCCACTGCTCCCAGCAGGCTACTGCCTCTTTCATCAACTTGATATCTGACGTTCCTTGCCAACTTGTTACCCTATAGTCCAGACATACTCAACCATCTATACTCCAGCATATGTCATAGGAATTAAAGAAGTGATCTCTGGAGCCAAACTGCTCTAACCCTTACTGTGTGACTCTAGATGAGTTACTTTACCTCTATATGCCTCCATTTCTTCATCTGTAAACAGATATTTTAGCACCCAGGGTTTTTTAAATTATTATTATTAGAATTAAGTGAGCTAGTCTGGGTGCAGTGGCTGATGCCTACAATCCTAGCACTTTGGGAGGTCAAGGTAGGTGGATTGCTGAGGCCAGGAGTTTGAGACCAGCCTGGGCAACATGGTGAAACCCTGTCTCTACAAAAAACGCAAAAATTAGTTAGGCATGTTGGCACATGCCTGAAGTCCCAACTACTCAGGAAGCTGAGGTGGGAAGATCCATTGAGCCCGGGAGGTTGAGGCTACAGTGAGCCATGGTTGCACTACTGCACTCCAGCCTGGGAGACAGAGCAAGACCCTGTCTCAAAAAAAAAAAAAAAAAAAAGGATTAAGTGAGCTAATGAATAAAACCCACTAGAGCCAGGTGCAGTGTCTTACACCTGTAATCCCAGCACTTTGAGAGGCCCTGGCAGGAGGATCAGTTAAGCCCAGGAGTGCAAAGCCACAGTGAGCTATGATCCAACCACTGCATTCCAGCCTGGGTGACAGAACAAGACCCCTGTCTCTCTAAAAACAAACCAAACAGCGGGTGTGGTGGCTCACACCTGTAATCCCAGCACTTTGGGAGGCTGAGGTGAGCAGATCACAAGGTCAGGAGTTCAAGACCAGCCTGGCCAATATGGTGAAACCTCGTCTCTACTAAAAATACAAAAAAAAAAAAAATTAGTCGGGCATGGTGGTATGCACCTGTAATCCCAGCTACTTGGGAGGCTGAGGCAGGAAAGTCATTTGAACTTGGGAGGCAGAGGTTGAAGTAAGCCGAGATCGTGCCATTGCACTCCAGCCTGGGCAACAGAGCGAGACTCCATCTCAAAAAAACGAAACAAAACAAAACAATATACCACCAGAACAGTGCCTGACACTTAGTAAATCAGTAAATCATGGTTATTATCAGAATGTCCTCCCACTTAGAGGGCTGACAAACTCCTGCTTCTCTTCCAGACCCTGTCTAGGTGTCATATCCTACGTGAAGCCTGTCCAGACCGCCCCAAGTCAGAGTTAATTGCCTTTTCATTAGTTCCTCACCTGTTTCTTTTTTTTCTTTTTTCTTTTTTTTTTTGAGACAGGGTCTCCCTCTGTCACCCAGGCTGGAGTGCAGTGGTGTGATTACAGCTCATTGCAGCCTCTACCTCCTGGGTTCAAGCAATCCTCTCACCTCAGCCTCCTGAATAGCTGACACTAGAGGCAGGTGCCACGGCACCTGGTTAATGTTTTTATTTTTTGTAGAGATGGGTTCTTGCTATGTTGCCCAGACTGATCTTGAGCTCCTGGGTTCAAGCAATCCTCCCACCTCAGCATCCCAAGGTGTTGGGATTATAAGTGTGAGCCATTGTGCCCGGCCATATCTTTCTATCTATCTATTTTTTTTTTTTTTTGAGATGGAGTTTTCACTCTTGTTGCCCAGGCTAGAGTGCAGTGACTTGATCTTGGCTCGCTGCAACCTCTGCCTCCCGGGTTCAAGCGATTTTCCTGCCTCAGCCTCCTGAGCTGGGATTACAGGCGCCAGCCACCACATCCGGCTAATTTTTTATATTTTTAGTAGAGATGGGGTTTCATCATGTTGGCCAGGCTGGTCTCAAACTCCTGACCTCAGGTGATCCACCCGCTTCGACCTCCCAAGGTGCTGGGATTACAGGCGTGAGGCACCGCGCCTGGCCCCCATACCTATATTTTATATGTACTTTTTTTTTTTTTTTTTTTTGAGACAGAGTCTCACTCTGTCACTTAGGCTGGGGTGCAGTGGCTCGATCCCGGCTCACTGCAACCTCCTCCCCCTGGATTCTAAGCAATTCTCCTGCCTCAGCCTCCCGAGTAGCTGGGATTACAGGCACCTGCCACCATGCCTGGCTAATTTTTGTATTTTTAGTAAAGACGGGGTTTCACCATGTTGGCCAGGCTGGTCTTGAACTCCTGACCTCAGGTGATCTGCCTGCCTCGGCCTCCCAAAGTGCTGGGATTACAGGCATGAGCCACCGCACCCGGCCTATACGTATTTTTTTTTTAGACGGAGTCTCGCTCTGTCGCCCAGGCTGGAGTGCAGTGGCGCCATCTCGGCTCACTGCAAGCTCCACCTCCCGGGTTCACGCCATTCTCCTGCCTCAGCCTTCCCAGTAGCTGGGACTACAGGCACCCGCCACCAGGCCAGCTAATTTTTTGTATTTTTAGTAAAGACAGGATTTCACCGTGTTAGCCAGGATGGTCTCGATCTCCTGACCTCGTGATCCACCCGTCTTGGCCTCCCAAAGTGCTAGGATTACAGGTATAAGCCACCGCGCCCGGCCAGTATTTTTATATGTCCCTTATTACATGGAACTTCTATCATGTTCAATCTTCTGAATCTAAAATAAGGTGTCAGTGCCTCACCAGAGATTCTTGCTGTCCTAAAGAAAAGCTCATTAACACATTTGGGTCTATAACTGGTGAACTCAAACTGAACTGGTGAACGAATATTTTTGGGGTGGAGTACTTCCTGTGTTGGGCCTGCCTAGTCCAGATTTGTCAACATCCTGCCTCCCAACTCCCACTGTTAACTAGGCTGCCCAGAGAATAATGCACAATACCAGCCTCACCCCTCACCCTGGAGGCCCTAACCACACATAACTTCTTTCAGTTCCCCAAAAGGCTCTGGGCATTCCTTAAAGCCACTCTTTCTGGCATTCTCTAGCCCTTATTTCTCCCCTTTGCTTAGCCATTCTTTACTTAATCTTTAGGTTCCATCTTAGACATCATTCCCTCCACCCCCAACAACCAAAGCCTTCTCTTATCTCCCAAAATGGCTTAAATTATTCTCCCAGGCAGCCACTGAGCCCTTCATTCTTCCCCTATCACAACACTTATCACATTTTATTGTCATTACTTGTCTGGCTCTTCTGGTAAATTGTAGGCTTCACAAGCCAGGCAACATGTCTGTAAAGCTATCCCAAGTTGCAGTCCCTGGCCCATAGTTGATGTCCAGTAACTGCTGCTAGGAGAAAAAATGGGTCAGGTGTAATGGCTCATGCCTGTAATCCCAGCACTTTGGGAGGCTGAGGCAGGAGGATTGCTGGAGCCCAGGAGTTCAAGACCAGCCTGGACAACATAGGGAGGCCCATCTCTACAAAAAATGAGAAAAAAAATAGCTACGTGTACTAAAGCCTGGGCAACAGAGTGAGACCCTGTCTCAAAAAATAAAAAATAAAAAGAGAGAGAAAAGAAATGAACAAATGAATAAAAGGAAATGAGTGTTCATCAGCAGCACCTGCAACACATTCTCCTGCGTTTTTTCTTTTTTTTTGAGATGGAGTCTCGCTCTGCGGCCCAGGCTGGAGTGCTGTGGTGTAATCTCGGCTCACTGCAACATCCGCCTCCCAAGTTCAAGCAATTCTCCTGCCCCAGCCTCCCGAGTAGCTGGGACTACAGGCGCGCGCCAGCACACCAAGTTAAGTTTTGTATTTTTAGTAGAGGCAAGGTTTTACCATGTTGGCCAGGATGGTCTCGATCTCTTGAACTTGTGATCCCAAAGTGCTGGGATTACAGGCATGAGCCACCACGTCTGGCTTCTCCTGCCTTTTTATCTTCCCAAAAGAATCTGTGCACCTAGTTTTGTTTTGTTTTGTTTTATCGAGATGGAGTCTCTCACTATTGCCCAGGCTGGAGTGCAGTAGTGCGATCTCAGCTCACTGCAACTTCTGCCTCCCGAGTTCAAGCGATTCTCCTGCCTCAGCCTCCCAAGTAGCTGGGAGTACAGGCGTGTGCCACTACGGCCAGCTAATTTTTGTATCTTTAGTAGAGAAGGGGTTTCACAGTGTTGGCCAGGATGGTCTCCATCTCTTGACCTCATGATCCGCCCACCTCGGCCTCCCAAAGTGCTGGGATTCCAGGCGTGAGCCACCAGCACCCGGCCACACCTGAGTTTTTAAAAACAAACAAACAGCAGGGCACGGTGGCTCACGCCTGGAATCCCAGCACTTTGGTAGGCCAACATGGGCAGATCACTTGAGCTCAAGAGTTTGAAACCAGCCTGGGCAACATAGTGAAATGCCGTATCTACAAAAAATACAAAAATTAGCCGGGTGTGGTGGCACACATATGTAGTCCCAGATATTTGGGAGGCTGAGGTGGGAGGATCGCTTGAGCCAGGAGGTCAAGGCTGCAGTGAGCCAAGATTGCACCACTGCACTCCGGCCTGGGTGACAGAGCCCGACCCCATCTTAAAAAAGTAAAAATAGGGCCAGGCATGGTGGCTCATGCCTGTAATCCCAGCACTTTGGGAGGCTGAGGCAGGCGGATCACCTGAGGTCAGGAGCTCAAGACCAGCCTGGCCAACATGGTGAAACCCCGTCTCTACAAAATACAAAAATTAGCCGGACATGGTGGCGTGCACCTGTAATCCCAGCTACTCAGGAGGCGGAGGCAGGAGAATTGCCTGAACCTGGGAGGCAGAGGTTGCAGTGAGATGAGACTGTGCCACTGCACTCCAGCCTGGGTGACAGAGCAGAACTCTGTCACAAAAAACAAACAAACAAACAAAAACACTTAAAAACAAACAATGGAGAGCTGTACTGGAAACACTTAAAATTTAAAACTAGAGACTCTCAGAATATGAATTTTCCTCACTTCCTTCAAAATCCAGCTTACCCAATTAAACATGTTTTCAAAGAAAAAAAGAAGGAAGGAAGAAAAGAGAAAAAAAGTACAAAGAAAATACTCTAATGCTGAAATGCTAAGAGTGGTTTCTATGTCTGAACTGTCCAACACAATAGCCACTCACCACATGGGGCTCGTGAGTACTTGAAATGAGGCTTAGTCCAAATTGAGATGTACTGCAATTGATAAATACATCCTAGATATGGAAGACTTGGTATGAAAAAAGAATATAAACTACCAATTACACTGATTTCAAGAAGGGATGATCATACTTTTTTTTTTTTTTTTGAAGCAAGATCTCTCTTGACTAGGCTGGAGTGCCGTGGCTGGATCATAGCTCACCGCAGCCTCAAACTCCAACTCTTGGGCTCTAGCGATCCTCCCACCTCAGCCTGCAGAGTAGCCAGGACTACAGGCGCATGCCATCATGCCTGGTGTATTAGTCAGGGTTCTCTAGATGGACAGTACTAATAGCATAGATGTATATATGAAAGGGAGTTTATTAAGGAGTACTGGGCCAGGCGCGGTGGCTCATGCCTATAATCCCAGCAGTTTGGGAGACTGAGGTAGGCTGATTACCTGAAGTCAGGGGTTTGAGACCAGTCTGGCCAACATGGTGAAAACTCGTCTCTACTAAAAATACAAGATTAGTCGGACATGGTGGTGCATGCCTGCAGTCCCAGCTACTTGGGAAGCTGAGGTAGGAGAATTGCCTGAACCCGGGAGGTGGAGATTGCAGTGAGCCGAGATTGTGCCATTGCACTCCAGCCTAGGTGACAAGAGCGAAACTCCAGCTCAAAAAAAAAAAAAAAGGAGTATTGGCTCACACGATCACAAGGTGAAGTCCCATAACAGGCCGCCTGCAAGCTGAGGAGCAAGAAAACCATCCTGAGTCCCAAAACCTCAAAAGTAGAAAAGCTGCAGCTTCAGTCTGTGGCAGAAGGCACAAGAGCCCCTGGCAAACCACTGACGTAAGTCCAGGAGTCCAAAAGCTGAGGTGTCCGAGGGCAGGAAGCATTCAGCACTGGAGAAAGATGAAGGTCAGGAGACTCAGCAAGTCTGTTCATTCCACTTTCTTCCGCTTTTTCTTTTTCTTTTTCTTTTCTCTTCTCCTCTCCTCTTTCTTTCTTTTTTTGACAGAATCTTGCTCTGTTGCTCAGGCTGGAGTGCAGTGGCATGATCTCGGCTCACTGCAACCTCTGCTTCCCGGGTTCAAGCGATTCTCCTGCCTCAGCCTCCAGAGTAGCTGGGACTGCAGACGCCCACCACCACGCCTGGCTGATTTTTGTATTTTTAGTAGACACGAGGGTTTCACCATATTGGCCAGGCTTGTCTCAAACTCCTGACTTTGTGATCTGCTCGTCTCGGCCTCTCTAAGTGCTAGGATTACAGGTGTCAGCCACTGCATCCGGCCCTCTTCTGCTTTTTCTAGCTGTGCTGGCAGCCAAGGTGATGGTGCCCACTCAGATTAAGGGTGGGTCTTCCTCTCCCAGTCCACTGACTCAAGTGTTAACCTCCTTTGGCAACGCCCTCACAGACACACCAAGGAATGATACTTTGCATCCTTCAATCCAATCAAGTTGACGCTCAATATTAGCCATCACACCTGGCTAATTTATAGACAAGGTCTTGGTATGTTGCCCAAGCAGGTCTTGAACTCATGGCCTCAAGCAGTCCTCCTGCCCTGGCCTCCTAAAGTGCAAGGACTATAGGCGCGAGCCACTGTGCCCAGCAGTACTTTTTTGTTTTTTAAATACAAAACAAAAAGAACACATGGCATTGGTCACATGACATGGGCTTATGCTAGTGGACTGCTCTAAAACCATCAATTTAGAAAAACAATGCTCATTAACTACTATTCTCAAGTACAACTCTGTTCCTCTTCTTTTACTATAGATTCAAGGAATACATGTATGGGTTTGTTACATGGATATATTGCATAATGGAGAGGTTTAGGATGCTAGTGTACCCATTGCCCAAATAGTAAACATGGTCCCAGTAGGTAGTTTTTCAACTCTCATCTCCCTTCCTCATTTTTCTCATCTCTCCCCGCTTTTAGAGGCTCCATTGTCTATTATTTCCATCTTTCTATCCGTGTATGCCCATTGTTCAGTTCCCACTTGTAAATGAGAACATTTACTATTTGATTTTCTGTTTCTGAGTTATTTCACTTAGTATAATCCTCCCAAAGTGCTGGGATTACAGGTGTGAGCCACTGTACCCAGCCAATTAAATTTATTTTTTGTTGAGATGGGGTCTCCCTGTGTTGCCCAGGATGATCTCAAACTCCTGGGCTTAAGCAATCCTCTCACCTCAGCCTCCCAAAGTGCTGGGATTACAGGCATGAGCCACCATGCCTGGCTTAATAATATCCATTCTGACTGGTGTAAGATGGTATCTCATTGTGGTTTTAATTAGCATTTTTCTGATGATTGGTGATGTAGAGTATTTTTTCATATGTTGTTGGTTGCTTGTGTGTCTTCTTTTGAGAAATGTTTGTTTGTGTTCTTTGCCTACTTTTTAAGGAGGTTATTTGTTTTTGTCGTTGAGTTGTTTGAGTTCCTTATAGTCTCTGGATATTAGTCCTTTGTCAGATGAATAATTTGCAAATATTTTCTCCCATTTTGTAGGTTGTTTGTTTGCTCTGTTGATTATTTCTTTTGCTGTGCAGGTAATACTTTTGATATATTGAGAAAAGTATATTATCAAAATTAACTTCATTTGTTTTTTATATTACATATTTATTTATTTTTTAGAGACAGAGTCTAACTCTGTTGCCCAGGCTGAAGTGCAGTGATGTGATTAAAGCTCATTGCAGCCTCAGGCCCAGCCTCCCAAATAGCTGGGTCTACAGGCACATGCCACCAGGTCCAACGAGTTAAAAAAAATTTTTTTTTTTTTTAGACAGGGTCTTGCTCTATTGCATAGGCTGGAGTGCAGTGGTGCAATCACAGCTCACTGCAGTCAATCTCCCGGGCTCAAGAAATCCCAAGTAGCTGGGACTACAGGTGCGCACCACCACACCTAAGTAATTTTTTGTATTTTTTGTAGAGATGGGTTTTCCCCATGTTGCCCAGGCTGCTTTTGAACTCCTGAGCTCAGTTAATCCACCTGCCTTGGCCTCAAAAAGTGGCGGAATTACAGGTGTGAACCATTATGCCTGACCTAATTTTTAATTTTAATTTAATTTAATTTAATTTTTTTTTTTTTGAGACAGAGTTTTGCTCTTGTTGCCCAGGCTGGAGTGCAATGGTGCGGTCTCAGCCTCCTGGGTTCAAGTGATTCTTCTGGCTCAGCCTCTTGAGTAGCTGGGATTACAGACATGTGCCACCACATGGGCTAATTTTTGTATTTTTAGTAGAGACAGGGTTTCACCATGTTGGTCAGGCTGTTCTTGAACTCCTGATCTCAGGTGATCCACCCGCCTTGGCCTCCCAAAGTGCTGGGATTACAGCCATGAGCCATGCCCGGCCAATTTTTTTTTTTTTTAAAGATGGAGTCTCATTCTGTTGCCCAGGTTGGAGTGCAGTGATATGATCTCGGCTCACTGCAACCTCTGCCTCCCAGGTTCAAGCAACTCTCCTGCTTCAGCCTCTTGAGTAGCTGGGACTACAGGCATGCCCCACCATATCTGGCTAATTTTTTGTACTTTTGGTAGAGATGGAGTTTCCCATCTTGGCCAGGCTGGTCTCGAACTCCTCCCCTCAGGTGATCTGCCCGCCTTGGCCTCCCAAAGTGCTGGGATTACAGGCGTGAGTCACGGCACCTGGCCTCACTTTCATCATATTTTTATACCAAGTATGTTGTGATAAACAGGATTTTCCTGAGAAATAGGTGGGCTTGGCATGTAGAGGTTGATTTGCAAGCTGAGTCAGATGGCGACCTCCTTTTTGCTCAGATCTGCTTTTCCAGTACTTTCCTGGTCTACTAGATGCCCTTGAACCTTGGCATTTTTTCAACACCTTTTGGTGTCACCGCTGGGGTTAGAGCATTGGTATAGCAGCAGGAGTGACCCCTCACCATGTCCTAGTCCTTGGGTCCTGTTTGTCCAATTTGCTCACCATGGCTGTCAGTTTTTATGTCTCTGGTTCTAGCCTGTGACCTGCCCACGAAACTGTACAGTTCCCTTTGCTTTATGATTTGGTTTTGGTTTTTTCTGCATTTTTTGCATGTGAGAGTTTGGCAAATATAAATGAGGTCTGTTCTTTTTTTTTTTTTTTTTTTTTTTTGTGAGACGGAGTCTTGCTTTGTCGCCCAGGCTTGAGGGCAGTGGCGCAATCTCAGCTCACTGCAAACTCTGCCTCCCGGGTTCACGCCATTCTCCTGCTTCAGCCTCCTGAATAGCTGGGACTACAGGCACCCGCCACCACGCCCAGCTAATTTTTGGTATTTTTAGTAGAGACGGGGTTTCACCGTGTTAGCCAGGATGGTCTTGATCTCCTGACCTCGTGATCCGCCCGCGTCGGCCTCCCAAAGTGCTGGGATTACAGGCGTGAGCCACCGCGCCTGGCCTAGGTCTGTTCTTTAGACAGATATTTTGAAATCACTCATCAGAAAATATTGATAGATGAGACATACATCACAAAAATCCTTGTAGTTGCAATAAACAACTTGCCAATATATGCAAACTATTTTCCCCTCCATTCTCTTGAATTAAGGGAGTATTTAAGGGAGGATTGATTCTCCTATGAAGCAACCATTTGGATAGAGGACTGGGTGAATCAATTAGCCACACCACTGTTCTAAATACTCAGCTTTAACATTCTTGGCCATGTCCAGTTCATTCTCTGACCACAAAAGTTCAGCTTGGTTCTTTGCCTGAATTTTCTTCTATGTAAAGTCAGACTTCCTGTATCATGCCAATTTTTTGCATTGGGTTTTTTTTTTTCTTTTTTTTTTGGAGACAGAGTCTCACTTTATTGCCCAGACTGGAGTGCAGTGGCACAATCTCAGCTCACTGCAACCTCTCCCTCCCGGGCTCAAGCAATTCTCCTGCCTCAGCCTCCCACATAGCTGGGATTACAGGCATCTGCCACCACGCCTGGCTATTTTTTTGTACATATATACATATATTCCTTGAAATGGAGTTTCACTCTTGTTGCCCAGGCTGGAGTGCAATGTCATGGTCTCGGCTCAGTGCAACCTCTGCCTACTGGGTTCAAGTGATTCTTCTGCCTCAGCCTCCCAAGTAGCTGGGATTACAGGCACCTGCCACCACACCCAGCTAATTTTTTAAATTTTTTTATTTTTAGTAGTGACAGAGGTTTCACTACGTTGAGCAGGCTAGTCTTGAACTCTTGACCTCAAAGTGATCCATCCACCTCAGCCTCCAAAAGTGCTGGGATTACAGGCATGAGCCATCATCCCCAGCCTGCCTTTTTTTTTTTTTTTAAAGGTGCTTGGTCATGTAAACCGATCATGCCAACTTAAAAAAAATCTATATGCTTTCAGCCAAGCATGGTGGCTCACGCCTGTAATCCCAGCACTTTGGGAGGCTGAGGTGGGAAGATCTTTTGAGCTCAGGAGTTCAAGACTCTCCTGAGCAACATAGTGAGAACCCATCTCTACTAAAAATGTCAAAAATTAGCTTGGTGTGGTGGTACACATTGGTAGTCGCAGCTACTTGGGAGGCTGAGGCAGGAGGATCACTGGAGCCCAGTAGTCTGAGGTGGCAGTGAGCTGTGTTTGCACCACTGCACTCCAGCCTGGGTGACAGAGCAAGACCCTGTCTCAAAAGAAATTTAAAAAATTGGCCAGGCGTGGTGGCTCACCCATATAATCTCAGCACTTTGGGAGGCCAAGGTGGGTGGACCACTTGAGGTCAGGAGTTCGTGACCAGCCTAGCCAACATGGTGAAACCCCGTCTCTATTAAAAATGCAAAAAAATTAGCCGCTCATGGTGACGGGTGTCTGTAATCCCAGCTTTTCGGGAGGCTGAGGAATGAGAATCGCTTGAACCTGGGAGGCAGAGGTTGCGGTGAGCTGAGATCGTGCCATTGCACTCCAGCCTGGGCAACAGAGTAAGACTCCATCTCAAAAACAAAACCAAAAACAAATAAATCAAAAGAAATTTTTAAAAATCTATATGCTTATATATTCGTGTGGGAAGGAGAATAATTCTAAATAATAAATGAACATAAATCATTAGTATATATGTTTCTTCCAATCCTTTCTTCCTTCCTCGGTGCGGACAGAAGTATCCCCTCTCCCTCAAAGTGCTAACATTTCTGCTTGTCTCTGGTATTAGGCAGGCAAGCTTTGGTGTTTTGGAGTCATATGACCTGGGCTCAAATCCTAACTCTGCCATTGACTAGCAGTGTGATCTTGGGCGAATGACTTAGCTTCTCTGAGCCTCAGTTTCCTCCTCTGTAAATTGGGAATAACATATTCTTATGGAAAATGTCTGGCCCACAGAAGCTAATTACAATAGTATTATGCTGGCATCATACTCCAGTTGACTTTTTTTTTTTTTTTTTTGAGATAGCGTCTTGCTCTGTCACCCAGTCTGGAGTCCAGTGCCCAGCTAATTTTTGTTTTGTTTTGTTTTGTTTTTTGTATTTTTAGTAGATGCAGTTTTGCCATGTTGGCCAGGCTGGTCTTGAACTCCTGGCCTCAAGTGATCAGCTCACCTCGGCCTCCCAAAGTGCTGGAATTATAGGTGTGAGCCACTGCTCATGGCCTCCAGCTAAGTTTTTGAAGCCCTATTCCTCCCTCTCCTGCCAGCTCTACAACTGCTGCCTTTACCTTAGAAGAAGGAAGAAGGAAGAAGAGAAGGAAAAGGAGGAGGAGAAGGGGAAGGAGAAGGAGAAGGAGAAAAAAGAAGAAGAAAAGAAGAAGAAGAAGAAGAAGAAGAAGAAGAAGAAGAAGAAGAAGAAGAAGAAGAAGAAGAAGAAGAAATAGCAGTAGTACAGCTTTTCTGACCTTTAGAAAGAAATATACCTCATTTCACTCTGTTATTCTTTCTGGTTAATGTCTTACTTTTCCCTTTCATTGCAAAGTCAGTGTTCTCAGATTGCATGTGGTTTACTGCCTCACTGTTCTTTCTCCCTTTTCTTCTCTGCCATGAGTCACCTGCTGTGACACTTTAGTGACCCTTAAGATACTTCAGTAAAGACCAGTGGGTTGGCAAATCCAGCAAATCCCCCCCCCGCTTTTTTTTTTTCTGAGAGAGAGTCTCACTCTGTTGCCCAGTCTGGAGTGCAGTGGCGTGATCTTGGCTCACTGCAACCTCTGCCTCCCAGGTTCAAGCAATTCTCCCTGCCTCAGCTTCCTAAATAGCTGGGATTATAGGTGCCTACCACCATGCCCGGCTAATTTTTGTATTTTTTAGTAGAGATAGGGTTTCACCACGTTGGCCAGGCTGGTCTTGAACTCCTGACCTCAGGTGATCGCCTGCCTTGGCTTCCCAAAGCAGTGGGATTACAGGTGTGAGCTACCGTGCCCGGCCAACTCTTTCTTTTCTTTTTTTATTTGAGATAGGGTCTCACTTTGTCGCCCAGGCAGGAGTGCAGTGGCACGATTATGGTTCACTGCAGCCTTCACCTGCTGGGCTCAAGCAATCCTCCCACCTCAGCCTCTCAAATAGCTGGGACTACAGGCATGTGCCACAATGCCCAGCTAATTTTTTTATTGAGACTGGGTTTCTCCATGTTGCCCAGGCTGGTCTTGAACTCCTGGGCTCCAGCAATCCACCTGCCTTGACCTCCCAAAGTGTTTGGATTACAGGCGTGAGCCACAATGGCCAGCCTCCCCTGTCTCTATTCTTCCGGATTTCACCACTGTGACATTCTGCACTCACCACTTCCCCCACCCCACCTTTTTTTTTTTTTTAATGCTTTTCTCCTGTAGCTCCCATGACCACCAGAAGTTACCCAACCAGGCAGATCAGTATCCCTTATCAGCTCACCAGTCCTGAATAATCCCTGACATTTGCATCTTCCTAGATCCCCTCTTTGAGACAGTGTGTTACAACTTTTCCTTTTTCCTCACCCCTCCCCCCTTGGTGACATTCCTTCCCTCTTGCCTGCGGTTACTTCAGAGTCAGCACCTGCACCCACACTTGACTCCTCCCCTCCAGCTCACAAGCGGAAGTATCTTCCTAGCTAAAGCCAGCCTCTCTGCGTTTGCTCTCGATCTCTCCCCTCCCACCATTTGGCCCCCCTTAGGGGACAGAACAGATCATGACTGATGCACCTTCAGCCTCTCCTGCTTTACTTTAAAATCTTGTCATCCTTTAAAATTCTTCCTTGCCCTCATCCGCCCTCCGCATAGTTACTGCCCTCTCTCTCCTCCCTCATTTCTGCCATCAAGCCCAAGCTCTCATGAAGCATTCATTTAATCTTCACAGCAGCCCATGAGGATGGTGTCAGTATTGTCCCTATAAAACAGAAGTGGAGTACAGTTGCTTTATTAAACAAGGTCACCCGGCAGGGGTTTGAAGGCAGAGAACTGGGCTTAGGGTCTGTGCCCTTGACCACTATGTCATACCATAATGCATGCCTCATACTGGATGGTGTCTGTTCCCAGCACTCAGCTCAGTGCCTTGCACATACATAGTAGGGGATTAATAAATATGTCTGACTAAATAAATACATGCTGCAAGTTCTTATTCTTTCACTCTTAGAATGACTCACTAGGCTGGGCACAGTGGCTCACGCCTGTAATCCCAGTACTTTGGGAGGCTGAGGCGGGCGGATCATGAGGTCAGGAGATTGAGACCTTCCCGGCCAACATGGTGAAACCCTGCCTCTACTAAAAATGCAAAAATTAGCTGGGTGTGGTGGCACGTGCCTGTAATCCCAACTACTCGGGAGGCTGAGGCATGAGAATCGCTTGAACCCAAGAAGTGGAGGTTGCAGTGAGCTATCATGCCACTGCACTGTAGCCTGGCGACAGAGCAAAACTCTGTCTTAAAAAAAAAAAAAAAAAAAAAAGACACTAATCCAGGGATTCTCAAAAAATGTAGGGGCTTAGGTTTATAGCTACTTTTCTGAAAGAAGCCACAGTTCTCATGAGTTTGTCATAGGAGTCTGTGTCCATACCAAGTTAATAACTTTTTTTTTTTTTCTTTTGAGACAGGGTCTCACTCGGTCAACCTCCTGGGCTCAAAGGATTCTCCCAAGTAGCTGGGACTACAGCTGTGCGCCACCACACCTGGCTAATTTTTTTTTTTTTTTGTATTTTTTTGTAGAGATGCGGTTTTGCCATGTTGCCCAACCTGGTCTTGAACTCCTGGCCTCAAGTGATCTGCCTGTTTTGGTTTCTCAAAGTGCTAGGACTACAGGTGTGAGCCACCGCATTCGGCCACAACTGCTTGATTCATTCATTTTTCTGTCTCCAGTTTCATTTTCCCCCTTCTCCTCCGCCTCACATCCTGTACAATGCCAGTAGATGACTAGATTGTCAATGTCTCATTTTAATTCTGTTGCTGGTAAAAACATAAGAATAGGCCAGGTGGCACAGTGGCTCATGCCTGTAATCCCAGCACTTTGGTAGGCTGAGGCGGGCAGATCACCTGCAGTCAGGAGTTCAAGACCAGCCTGACCAACATGGTGAAACCCTATCTCTACTAAAAATACAAAAATTAGCCAGGTGCAGTTGCACTCACTTGTAATCCCAGCTGGTAGGAAGGCTCGGGTGGGAGGATCACTTGAAGCTGGGAGGCAGAGGTTTCAGTGGGCCAAAATCACATCACTGCACTCCAGCCTGGGCAACAGAGTGAGACTCTGTCTAAAACAAACAAACAAACAAACAAACAAATATATATATATATAAATATGAATAATTCATACATATATGAATAAATAATTTTCTCTACCTAAAAAGTCTTGAATGCCCTCACCCCACTGCCTCCAACATAAAAATCAAACACTCTGGCCCAATAGCCAAGGCTTTCAGTAATCAAAGCCCAACACACTTTACTAGTACTCCCATTTTTCTCCTGCTTGAATTCTCTGCCCCAGGCAAACCAAAGTCTTCTAACTTCAAAGCCTATGTTCTAACTCGTCTTTCAGCAGTTCATTCAACAATAATGTATTTCATTCCTGATCTGAACCAGGCATTATGCTAGGGGTGGGAATACACAAATGAATACAATACAGTCTTTACCCTCGAGAGACTATCAATCTAATTTGGGAGAGAGATGTGAAAACAAAAATCTAAAGACATGGAATGACAAATTGTCCATGGGAGTTATTCTTGCCTGGAGGTGGGGTGGAGCTGAGAGTAAAGGAGACTTTTCTTTCTATGTTCAACATGTCTGCACTCTTTACCTGTTTCTTTTATAACATGCATGCTTTACTTTTGTAACCAGGGGAAAAAAATCACATTACATGAAAATTATGATTAATTCAATTCTGAACACTTGAGTTCAAAGAAAAAGCCCATAACTGTCAAAAACATAGTAAAATTAAGGAAGAAAGGACAATGAACCAATAGAAAAAAGTGGACAAAGCTATGAGAAGGCATTTCTCAGAATATGAAACATTTATGGTCAATAAACATATAAAGATATATTCAACTTCATTAATCATCAGAGAGGTACAAGTCAAAACCACAGTGAGATTCCATTTGATGTCTATTTGAGTGGCAAAAATGAAGAAATCTGACAATAGCTTGCATTGGAGAGGATGTGGATCAAGAGAATCTCATATACAATGTTGTTAGAAGTGTAAATTGGTTTAAAAAAATCAAACCAGAACAAAACAAAACCCCAAAACCACTTTGGTAAACAACTGGAAATTATCTTGTGAAGCTGAACATTCACAATAGAATTGTGACCACCAATTCTATTTCTATGTAAATAAGAAAAAGAAATTCTCGCATTGGCCGGGCGCGGTGGCTCACGCCTGTAATCCCAGCACTTTGGGAGGCCGAGGCGGGCGGATCACGAGGTCAGGAGATCCAGACCATCCTGGCTAACATGGTGAAACCCTGTCTCTACTAAAAATACAAAAAATTAGCTGGGCGTGGTGGCGGGCGCCTGTAGTCCCAGCTACTCGGGAGGCTGAGGCAGGAGAATGGCGTGAACCCGGGAGGCGGAGCTTGCAGTGAGCTGAGATTGCGCCACTGCACTCCAGCCTGGGCGACAGAGCGAGACTCCGTCTCAAAAAAAAAAAAAAAAAAAAAGAAATTCTCGCATTTGAGCAGCGTTGGGTTTTACATGAAAGTTTTTGGTAGCACTTTTGCAATAACAGAAATCTGCAACAACCCAATGCTCAATATTGGGAAATCGGGTGTATTAGTTTGGGTTCCCCAAAAGCAGAGCCTGAGACAAGGACTTGGGTGCAGGTTGTGTATTTGGGAATTGATGATGTGTGTGGAGGACAACAGGTCTAACGGAGAGGAACGAGTGAGGTAGGGTAGGAGGGAAAGCCAGCGCAGGGGGCGTGATTGATTTTTGGAGTCCTCTGAAAAGTGTAAAAAATGCCTCCTAGAATTGTCCATCTGAAGGATAGGAGACTGGGGCATTTATTCCTTGGCTCATACCTGCCACTGGTTGAAGGTTGTGTTAATTCTCTTTACTTTCAGACTACGCCTGTGAGAGGGCTGAGTAGGCTCTTATGGCTTTGAAAAGGCCTTGAAACAGAAATTGGAGAGGCCCAAGACCTGACACTTGCAGCGGAAATTGTAAGCGAAGGCTCCCATGAAACTGGCCACCATATATTCAGGGCTAAGAGGCCAAGGATAAGAATACAGGCCACCAAGAGTTTCTGTTGCATGGGAAAAATGAAAGTTAGTATAGTCACACATTAGAATTGTCTATAGCAGCCGCGAGAAATAAATGCAACTATATGCATCAAGCCTGAGATGAATTTTAACAATATAACACAAAAAGTGAAAAAGAAATCCCAGGATATTACATAGGAAATGACACTGTTTTAGTAAAGAAAACAAGAACTAAAATTAACGATATATGTTTTGGGAACATGTATGCATGTATCTGTGTGTGTGTGTGTGTGTGTGTGTGTGTATGTATGTATACAAATATATATGACTTACTGTACCCAACTGGTTTTTTAGTTTTCAAAAATTTATGTGTGTGTATGTATATATACACACGTATACAAATTCTGCTGGAATGCAATGGTGTGCTCACAGGCCTTTTAATTTTTTTTTAAGAGATGGAGGGGGTCACACTTTGTTGCCCAGGCTGGACTTGAACTCTTGGTCTCAAGTGATTCTCCTGTCTCAGCTTTCCAAGTAACGGAGATTATAGGCATATGCCACTGTGCCCATTTTAATTTTTTTTTTTTTTTCTGGGACAGAGTCTAGCTCTGTCATCCAGGCTGGAGTACAGTGGCGCGATCTCGGCTCATGGCAACCTCCGTCTCCTGGGTTCAAGCAATTCTCCTGCCTCAGCCTCCCATGAAGCTGGGATTACAGGTGTGCACCACCATGCCCAGCTAATTTTTGTATTTTTAGTAAAGATCACATTGGCTAGGCTGGTTTCAAACTCCTGACCTCAGGTGATCCACCTGCTTGGGCCTCCCAAAGTGCTGGGATTACAGGCATGAGCCACTGTGCCTATTCCCCATTTTACAATTTTTTATTTTTATTTTATTTATTTTATTTTTTATTTTTTGAGATGGAGTTTCTCTCTTGTTGCCCAGGCTGAAGTGCAATGGCGCGATCTCGGCTCACCACAACCTCTGCCTCCCGGGCTCAAGCGATTCTCCTTCCTCAGCCTGTAATACCGAGTAGCTGGTATTACAGATATGTGCCACCACACCCGGCTAATTTTGTATTTTTAGTAGAGATGGGGTTTCTCCTTGTTGGTCAGGCTGGGCTCAAACTCCTGACTTCAGGTGATCCGCCTGCCTTGGCCTCCCAAAGAGCTGGGATTACAGGTGTGAGCCATCGCACCTGGCCTATTTTACAATTTTTAATAAATTTTTTAAATAAAAGTATTTTTGCTGGGTACAGTAAGCTCACACCTATAATCCCAGCACTTTGAGAGGCCAAGGCAGGAGGATTGTTTGAGGCCAGGAATTTGAGACCAGCCTGGGCAACATTTTTGTAGAGAGAACTGTCTCTACAAAAATAAAATTTAAAATGAATAAATTTAAAGACAAACAAACAAGAATTAGCTGTGCATGGTGGTGCAAGCCAGTGGTTCCAGCTACTCAGGAGACTGAGGTGGGAGGATCACCTGAGCCCGGGAGGTTGAGGCTGCAGTAAGCCATGATTGCACCATTGCACTCCAGCCTGGGTGACAGAGCAAGACATTGTCTCTAAATACATAAATACACACACACACACACACACACACACGTACGTATAAATACATTAAGAACAAGAAAATGATAAACACAAGATTAGGCACTGGGTAGGGGGATATGTATAAGTAGTCAATTCAGCCACTGCAGCCTTGAACTCCTGGGCTCAAGCAATCCTCCTGCTTCATCCTCCCAAGGACCACAGGCATGTGCCCCTATGCCTAGGTTTTTTGTTTGTTTGTTTGTTTGTTTTTTGTAGAGACAGGGTCTCTATGTTGCCCAGCCTGGTCTCAAACTCCTGGCCGCCAGCAATCCTCCTGCCTCGGTGTCCCGAAGTGCAGAGATTACAGGCATTAGCCACTGTGCCTGGCCAAGGAGGTTAATTTTGTTCCCTCCTAAATCCCCAGGGCCTAACAGTTCCTGGCACATGATAGGCACCAAACATTTATTTGTGTAATGCATGTAATTTAGCTAGGAAGAAGAAATATAGGCTAAGAGCCAATTGTGGAAGAATTTTTAATGCTCCAGTTCAACTCAACTCAGACATATGTCCTCTTAATTTCTTCCCTAGCTCAGACTCCAGCTCAGTATTTAACCAAACAATAAAATGGTCTCATTTCTGGCCCATTTCTGGCCCTCGTCCTCATCAGTTACTCTTTTCTGCCCCTTCCACCTGTCTTACTTGCCCTCTTGCTACCTTAGCTTTTTATCTCTAGAAGCCTTGGTTTTCCAGGTTCCCTTAAGGCCCTTGGCTACATGCTTTGGCAGTTTCCACACTGTCAGATGATCACACACCTGCTAGGTATTCTTGCCTTTGCTCCTACCGATCCACCCTTCACCCTTTTGCACTCTGCTCTTTACCTGCAGAGGTGGACTTTGAAAGCAGCACCATCTGGGTTCCTTGCTTGTAGGCTTCCTGCTGGCTCAGCCAGTGGGAGGTACTGAAGGAGACCTGAGAGAAAGAAGAGAAGTATGGCTCTTCTTTCCTCCAAGCTCCTGTTGGCTGTCCTTCTCCTACATAAGGACTGGTAACTGTTCCATCTCTTTGCCCCTTCGGGCCAGTGGTTGATAATGGCTTCCCAGTAGATGCTAGACCTGGGGTGCTTCACTGTCCCTTTTTGGTTTCCCTCAACCCTGCTTACATTTCTGTACACTGTCCCTTTACTAACTCTCCTCGGATACACATTTTGAGCGGTTCATCTGTTCCCTGCTGATCTTAGTTGATACAAAAGCAAAAATATACAATAGTATCTTTTTAAGAAAATTGATTCACAAAACTCACCCCTTTAAAGCATACAATTTAGTGGTTCTTAGCATGTGCCAGCAAACTGTATCTTTTTTCATTTCATATGTAATCAAATGTTTCTTCGTGTCAATAAGTTATACGTTTCACATCACCAGTTACTTAACCATTCATAATGTTTCTAAATTTTCACTATCATTCAATAAGTACTATGGTAAATATTGTTGTGTGTGTGGCTGTTTTCTTTTGGGGAGTAGTATTTCTCTTTTTTTTTTATTTTATTTTTGAGGGGAGTCTCTCTCTGTCGCCCGGGCTGGAGTGCAGTGGCATGATCTCAGCTCACTGCAACCTCTGCCTCACAGGATCAAATGATTCTCCTGCCTCAGCCTCCCTAGTAGCTGGGATTACAGACATGCGCCACCATGCCCAGCTAATTTTTTTATTTTTTATTTTTTGGTAGAAACAGGATTTCACCATGTTGGCCAGGCTGGTCTTGCACTCCTGACCTCAGGTGATCCACCCGCCTCAGCCTCCCAAAGTGCTGGGATTATAGGCATGAGCCACCGCGCCCGGCCTCAAATTGCTTTTTTAAAGGATAGCAATGTACCCTGCCACGGTTTTCTCTTGACTGTACCAATTGCATTATCTCTTTAGCATTGAAAGTACATAAGGTATGTATACTTTGCTAATGTAGTAAGTAGTCTTAACATTTGAACTTCTTTGATAGCCATACCAATTCTAAGCCATTTAAAGCTGTTTTTAGCTAAATGGGACTGGAGGGTCAGTGATTTTGAGGGCGTGGGGTGGAGAGAAGGTTAGAAGGATTTGCTCTCCTACTTTCTTCCTTCTTTCTTCCAGACTCTTCACCTTGTTTATACATCAGTTTCCTCCTCTTCATTAAGCTATGCCTCTTCAGGGCCTAGCATAGTGTCTGGCACTGTCCAGAATATCAATAAACATTTATGAAATGGATAAATGATGGAAGAAGAAAGTTATGAAATATGCACAGTGTTGGTCATCCTAGCATATGAGCATTAACTGTGCATTAACTGCTCTCCTTCTAGTGGACTCTCCAGAACCAACACTTTTCATTCCCTTCTAATAAATATATTGCTAATGCTCAAGGACAGTTAAATGCTTTGGACTAGTGGGTTACTTTCTGGAATACCTACATACTCATTCCTGCCAGTTGAGCTACATGCCTAATAACAGTCTGCTGTGTTTGGTCCTAAACCTATTTATGGTAGCTATATGCCAGAGTTTAATAAACTGATGAATTATCCATCAGTTTATTAAAATTACATAGATTAAACATAAGCATGAAAAGAGCTGTCTCTATGACATATCAGTTGCATGCTTTGAAAATATTAGCTAAAGACCAGTTGAAATTACTACTAAACCAGATGTGAGCAAGAGAACTACAAAAGGTTTTTTTTTAAAGCCTCTACTTATACTGCTTTGTAAGAAGTTTTAAGTACACAGTCAACTTGGAAGCCAGGTTTTATATATATATATGTATTTGTAAATAGCCAAGCATGGTGGTGAACGCCTGCAGTCCCAGCTACTCAGGAGGCTGAGGTGGGAGGATCATTTGTACCCAGGAGGTTGAGGCTGCAGTGAGTCATTATCACACCACTGTACTCTTAACACTCTAGCCTAGGTGACTGACAAAAAAAAAAAAAAAAAAAAGGATAGGAAAGCATAGAAAATGCATCGTGGATATGATTGATGTAAGAAAGGCAGCTCAAGAACAATAATCAAAAAAGGTTTGGTCCTAGGTCTAAAGATTGGCAAGGCAAGTGGGTGTTCTTTATAGTTTTGAAGTTAAAATGAAATATTAGGGTGTATATTTGCCATTTGTTGTTATTCACTGCTTAAATATTCTTTTCCAATTAAAGGATGAACTATTGGGCCAGGTCTAATTTTTTGGGCATCAGGAGTAGGGAAGGGGATGTAAATCCTTATCCTTATCCTCTAAATCCTTTTGTTTCCATAGAAGGGCAGGTAGGAGTGAAGTTGTTCTGATTCTTCCAGCAGAGACTTACCTAACTGCTGAATTCAGACCTGCCTGACCTAAGAGAGGGTGCAATCTTCTCTAATTAGACACGGTTAATATGGTTAGGCCTCTGCAAAGGGGAGAATGGAGGTTTTGGGAAAATAATTTTATTTTTTATTTTTTCCTTTTTATGGAGAACAGGGTCTTGCTATGTTGCCCAGGCTGGTCTTTAACTCCTGGATTCAAGCAATCCTCCCACCTCTGCCTCCCTAAGTGCTGGAATTACAGGTGTGAGCAACCATGCCTGGCTGGAAATAATTTTAATTCAGGGAAAAATATTAAAAAGCTTATTGGCCACCATCTAAGCCACATTCTTCAGTTCAGCTTTATTGGTAATAAAGCTGATATTTTCACCTTTCCATTGCTTCCAAACTTATAAGGAAGAGATTAAACTTATTGCCCTTATAATACTCCAACAGTGTTAGATAAGATGGCCTCAATGTATTGTCACAACTAAGATAACAGTTACAATCAAGACATTATTTTTCCTTTTATTTTAGTCCACCATTCTATTCATTCAAATAAAAAATTGTCTCTGGTCTACCTTGTTTGAAGTTCAATCTGTATCTTGAGCTGGACAAAGAAGAAAATGTTTATAGCCCCTGAGAAATATTGATATTAGGAAATATATACTGAGAAGGGAAGAGAAACCCAAACATGGCTCCTGTCAATCCTTCCATCCCACCCCTCCACAGCATCTTAGAAGAGTCTCGTCTGTCCTGTTGATTTCTGGGACATGTAAACATGGCAAGCTTAAGGGTGCAGGCTATCTGGCTATAGTTGAGCCTCTTTTCAATGTCCTTTGTGACCCAGCAGTGGGTTATGGAATCAATGTAGTAGGTCCTGATCAGCATTTAAAAAGAATAAGATTAATCAGTTGAAAATATCAGAGTGCATTTCATAAAATAAGGGTAGTATTTCATGAAACTTTCGTCTTACGGGGTGTGTGTGTGTGTGTGTGTGTGTGTGTGTGTGTGTGCGCGCAGGCATGCGTATGTTCTGGGTTGAGGTGTAAAATACATTTCTTATGGAGGATTGCAGTCAAAAAAGTTTTCAAAGTACTAGTTTAAGGTGCACATTTCTTTTTCCTTTCCATTTTACTCTTTGCTAATTTGTTCTCGCTCTGAAACTGTGCTGGTGAATAGAAATTGTAGTCATTAATAGCCAGAGAAGCAAGGCCCAACTTTCAGTCTGTAAACAGCTGTAATGCAAAGACTGCTGCCCCTAACTCATTGCTCTGAGTCAATTAGATGTCCAAATATTAGGACTGATGGGTTGAGACCTCAAACCTCATTGAGTAAGAAGTTACAGGACAATTTATTTGCAAATTTATTACCTGCACTGTTCAAGCCTCAGTGGTTCTTCCTGACATGCAAAAGACACAGGGTTCAGCTTGGCATTCAGGACCATTTTTGATATAGTCATTATTTTTCCTTTTATTTTAGTCCATGAAACCCCATTTCCTACCTTACCTTTCCACATTGATTCCCCTACTTTTCTTCTACACCAGTCCTGTGCTCCAGCCAAATGGATTTCTTGGTGCTCCCCTCTGAACACTCCATCTATTTCCCACTGTGGGTTCTTGGTTGTACTGTTCCTTCTGCCTGGGACAGTCTCCTTACTCAGCCCATCTCTATTTGCTAAAGTCCCATCTACACTTCAAAGATTCATTTCCAAATTCCTTTCCAGAGTCCTAATATATTTTTCTTTTTCTTTTGAGACAGATTCTCACTCTGTTGCCCAGACTGGAGTGCAGTGGTGCAATCTCAGCTCACTGCAACCTCCACCTCCTGGGTTCAAGTGATTCTCATGCTTCAGCCACCCAAGTAGCTGGGACTACAGGCGTGCCACCACGCCTGTACTTTTAGTAGAGATGGGGTTTCACCATGTTGGCCAGGCTGGTCCCATACTCCTGACCTCAGGTGATCCACCAGCCTCGGCCTCCCAAGTAGCTGGAATTACAGGCATGAGCCATCATGCCCAGCCCTAATATTTTTTTCTTTCGAACCCCATAAATATCTTTTAAAAAACACCTTTCTTAAAAATACTTTTAAAAGCTACTTAAAGATACCATTTCCCTGCTTCCAGGAGAAATATACATGCACTATAAAAATAAGAAAATATAGATGTCACAGAAGAAAAGTCTCATTTTAAAATCTACGCATTATACTTATTTATGTATATTTATATATTACCATCTGCTATATCACCTTATAATGTGCTTTTAATTATAAAGATTTCCCACATCATTAAATCTTTTTATTTACCATGATTTTTAATGGCCACAAACTCTAGTTTATTTAACAATCATATAACTATAATATAATAATATAATATTGGGCATTTTTCCTGCTTATAGGTAGGGTGCAATATTTTGAGGTAATATAAATGGACTAATATCTGGGATATGGTGACAAATCTTCCAAAGAGCACAATATTTTTTGCAAACAAGAAATTAGGGCCTGAGATAATTAGGAGAAATGTAAGTTCCCAATGAAACTCTGGAGATATTGGCAGGTATGCTGGGTTTCTTAAGTGGTACACAGGTTTGGAGTCAATTGTACTTAAATTTTAAAGGACAGTGACCCCAGCTGCCCTAAGGATGATTGTAGAGGGTAATCCAGGCAGCTGATCCATGGAAGCATGCATGCCTCCCTACCTCAAAATATTTCAATCTTTATGCACTCTTTAAATCTTGTAGGAAGAGGCGGACTTCTCTGACTTTTTGCTCACCCCTTTCCCCCTTCCCATCTACTTTTCCTTTTCTGGTTTCTTGCACCATCAATTATCCTACATCTATCTGCCATTCTCCCCTCTCAGCTCCTTTAGTTAAGGTCTCCCCACTCAAGTTAGGAAAAAAAAAAAAAAAATCACCGGCCAGGCATGGTGGCTCATGCCTGTAATTCCAACACTTTGGGAGGCTAAGGCAGGTGGATCACCTTAGGTCAGGAGTTCGAGACCAGCCTGGCCAACATGGCGAACCCCCATCTCTACTAAAAATACAAAAATTAGGGCCGGGTGCGGTGGCTCATGCATGTAATCCCAGCACTTTCGGAGGCCGAGGCGGGTGGATGACCTGAGTTCAGGAGTTTGAGACCAGCCTGACCAACATGTTGAAACCCCATTTCCACTAAAAATACAAAATTAGTCAGGCATGGTGGCGCATGCCTGTAATCCCAGCTACTCGGGAGGCTGAGGCAGGAGAATCGGTTGAACCCAGGAGGCAGAGGTTGCAGTGAGCCGAGATTGTGCCATTGCACTGCAGCCTGGGCAACAAGAGCGAAACTCTCTCTCAAAAAAAAAAAAAAAAAAAAAAAAAAAAAAAGCCAGGCATGGTGGCGTGCGCCTGTAATTCCAGCTACTTTGAAGGCTGAGGCTGGATTATCACTGGAACTCTGGAGGTAGAGGTTGCAGTGAGCCGAGACCACGCAATTGCACTACAGCCTGGGCTGCGAGACCGAAACTCCGTCTCCAAAGACAAAAAAAAAAAACAAAAAACAATCAACTTTTCCCTTTACTCTTTTGCAGAGAGGGAGGGTCTCGCTATGTTGCCCAGGCTGAACTCAAACTTCTCGGCTTAAGGGATGCTTTTGCCTCAGCTTCCACAGTAGGACCCAACTTTCTCCTTTACTCTTGGTACTTCTTGAGCTCCAGGCCTACTTTTCTCTCTCTCACTGCCAAACATTTGAAATCATCACCCTTTATTAACTCCATTGCTTCATTGGCTAACATACTCTTTAGACAAGCTCTTCAACTCAGTTCTGTGCCTGGTGCACAGCAGGCTCCGGCTGCATGTTAGTTCCAGCCATCTTGCACATTTGCATCTCCTTCCTGGAGAAGGAATTTCTCCATGGTTAGCAGTGTGTGCTCACTCCTAGTCACCAGGGCCTCATCTCCGTGTTCCCACACCCTGACCTTGCTGCCGCCCTAATGCTGCGGACCCAGTTTCCAGGTACGCCGGGTTCTTGGAAGGTCCTGCCGGTCACCCTCCCAGCCTTCTGCCAGACTCACTGAGTTCTCACCCTGCACAGTCATCGTTTCCCCAGTAACCCTGAGAGATCTCCCAGTCTACCTCTTCGAGGCACCCGTTGCCAGTCCTCCATCTCTGTTTGCCGCGCGTCCCTCGGTTACCCCAGAGGCAACACGTCAGGCTGCCCCGCACCTCCAAGCCTGCGCGAATGTCCTTGTAGCCAGCTATGACCAAACATTTAGGGCGCACCTGAGCGCCAGGCCCACGCCACCCCTGCTTGCTTTCACTTAACAGCCTCGACTAGGCCCCCTATGCGCCAGGTCTCAGTGAAGAGGACGCAGTCCCGGGTCCTGGGCGCTCTTTGCCGGGCGAGACAGCTGCGTAGGCAGATCCTGTTCCTCTAGTGGGCGGCCTCGGCCCCTGCCCCTGCCCCGAGGCGCGTCAGAGGACAAGAGGCCCAGGTCGCTGGCAGCGGCTGCCTGCCCGACCGCACAGGGTGCCTAGCACGGGTGGCGGGGACTGGAGCCGGGCGGGGGCCGGCCGGGGTCGGGGGTCCAGCCCTGAGCGGCGCCGTCCCCGCCCCGCCCCGTCCCGTCGCGTCCCGCCCCGCCCTACCCGCCGCCGCCGTCGTCGCCGTCGCCGGGCCTGCGCCGCGCAGCCCGCCTCGGGCGGGAGGCGGGAGGCGGGAGGCCGGGCCCAGGCCGGGGCAGCCCCTCCACCGCACCGTCCTGGGCCGGTGCCCAGGTCCGAGTCGCCTTCCGCCTGCCCCCCCCCCCCCCCAATCCCCCGCCGCGGCAGCCCCAGCCAGGTCCCGCCGCCAGGCCGGCTCCCGCCCCCGCTCCGCCCCCGGAGCCGCAGCCCCGCCCGCCATCGCCGTCGCCATGTTGTGGCTCCCGCAGCCGGCGCTGGGGACGCGCGCGGCCGAGACTCTGGCCTGCAGTCGCCGCCGCCGCCGCCAGGTAAGCGCCCCCCGCGGGCCGGGCCGAGCGGGGCCTGCGGGCCGGGGCAGCCCCAGCCTGGGCCCGGGAGGATCGCAGCCGGGACCGAGTCCGAGCCCGAGCCGGGGCCCGGCCCTGCAGCCTGGCGGACCCTGGCCGCCGCCAGAGGCGGCAGCCACTTCCCCCGACCGCCGCCTGGCGGGCCCGGGCCGCCACCCCACCCCGCCCCCGGCCGTCGGGCGCCGGCCCCTTCCGCCGCTGCGACCGCCGCTGCGACCGCCGCTCCTTGGCAGGCCGGGCACGCTGCTGTCCTCCGCGCTGGGCGGGACGTGCGGCCGCCCTCGGCGATAGCCGGCGGCCCCCAGCCCGGGCACGGATAACGGTGCCACTTTCTCCCTCTGGGACGGCCTGTCAGCCCGACCGTCCCCGCCGCCCGAAGAGCTGTCGCCGTCACAGGGCAGACACTTCGGGGAACGACCCTCTTTGGCGCTCCTCAGTACTCCCCTCCCCTGAGCCCAAGTTCTGACCCTGAGGAAGGTTTCTCCCGGAGCAGACAGGTATTCCTAGAGCTCCAGAGTTGGGGTCCTCAGGGGTGACCAGGCCTGTTGATCAGGGTGAAAATTGTCTCTCTGCAAGGGCTCTTCCTGCCAACGAGGGGGTTGGCGGGAGGCTCAGTGTGACCTGAGGGAGGACAGGAGAGCGTCTGCTGGACAGATGGCCTCCTGGCCTTGGATCAGCGTTTGTGAGGGGGAGGGGTCCGTATGACCTTAGGTATGCCTGCTCCTGAGTACTGCAGGATTATTGAAGCTGTTTAGGGATTTTAAACCATTTTTTGAGTAGGCCAAAGGTGGCATTAAAGGTCCTGGATTGGAATAAGTCCACAGGCCCACCCAGGGAAGCATGTTTGGCATCCAGGACTAGTCTAGAATAGGACTGGCAGTAGAAGAATGGGACTTGGGGAGTAAGACGGTATTTGGCTTATGGTTTGCCCACTTGAGTTCAGGCCTGTGCTCATGGAGGGCCTGTAGGGTGCTTCTGTCGCGGGTGCAGTGTGGTGCACAGTGTGGCAGAGTGCGGAGGATGTGGACAGACAGATTCCTGGCCTGGTGGATGCTTGGTGGTATTTTAGTAGTCTGTTTCCTCAACCTCACTGTTACGTTACACAGTGAAAGGGGCAGAAGTGTGGTGCTAGTGCGTCCATTTTGATCATTTTCCAATTTTTCAACTAGTTGTGGCTTTGATTCATTAAATAAATTTTTACTGAGCACTTACTCTGTGCCAGGCACTGAGCTAGGTGTTGGGAGTACATTGGTAAGCCAGAAAGATACCATGTTTTAGTTCTTAGCCATTGGGAAAGTCTAATAATTAATAGTCGTGGCCGGGCGCGGTGGCTCGCGCCTGTAATCCCAGCACTTTGGGAGGCCGAGGCGGGTGGATCGCCTGAGATCAGGAGTTCGAGACCAGCCTGACCAACATGGTGAAACCCCGTCTCCACTAAAAAAATACAAAATTAGCCGGGTGTGGTGGTGCATGCCTGTAATCCCAGCTACTTGGGAGGCTGAGGCACGATAATTGCTTGAACCCGGGAGGCGGAGGTTGCAGTGACCTGAGATCGTGCCGTTGCACTCTAGCTTGGGCTACAGAGTGAGACTCCATCTCAAAATAAATAAATAGTCGTGGAAATTTATTCAACAACAAATATTTGTCAACAAATACGTGTTAGGCATTGTTCTAGATGCAGTGAACAAAGAAAGCAAAAATGATTGCCCTTGTGGTGCTTTCCTGGGAGTGGGGGAGAAGACAATAAATAAAATATATAACAAAAATATAGTCTGTTAAAAAGTGTGAAATGCTAAGGAGAAGAAGGAAGCAGGGAAGGAGAATCTGAGGTATCAGGGGTGGTAGTTGAATTTATATTATACGGTGGCCTGGGAAGGCTTCCTAAGAAGGTGTCTTTCGAGTAAAACTTGGAAGTGGTAAACTAATAATTCAAACTATAGTGAATATAAGAAGAGAAAGCTGAAGAGAGGGGTAAGAGACCGATTTGAGTTGGGGGCTCAGGGAAGCCTTCCCTGGGGAAGTGATGTTTAGGCCAAGATCTGAAGGAGGGTTAAGAGTTAACCATGTGTGGAGCTGACTGTAGCAAGGAGGAAGTGAAAGAGGCCTGTGGGGCTGGAGGGGGAAAGGGAGAGGGGAGATTAGTCTGGAGACTAGGGCCAAATTAGAGCAATGGGGCCTTGGGGGCAGAATGCCTCCCTCCTTAGTTTGGTTTGTATCTCCAGTGTAATTAGGAACCTTTGAAGGGTTTAAGGGAATGACATGATATTTACATTTTAAAAGGTGTCTAGCCCCTGTGCAGGGAATGGACTTTTGAGATAAGCAGGTAAGGCAAGGCTTTCTGGGTTGAGTGGCTTAACTACCTGATCTGTTTGGAAAAGCCTCAAGCAGTCTGGGGGAGATCCTTTGCCTCTGTGAGTCTGCTTCATCCAGCTTTTAGGAAGGGAAGGCAAAAATGAATTAACATTTATGGAGTACCTGCCAGGTGGGAGAACCAATTTTAAAGACTTCTGCATACATTATTGTATTTAACTTAGTCCTCTCTACACCCTAAGAAAAAGAGGTTATCATACCCATTTTACAAAGAAATAAATGCAGAGGGGATAGATGACTTATTCAAAGCCACATTTGTAACATAGCCTGGATTCAAAGCACGTCTGCCTGAATTCAGAGCCCACTGGCTCTGGAGCCAGACCACTGAAGTTTGCATTTTGCTCCTGTCACTTGCTAACCAATGATCTTGAGTTATTTAGCCTCTCTTGTGCCTCAGTTTGCTCACATTTTAAGTGCAGATAAAACTCCCTCATACAGTTGTTGTACAGATTAAGTCATGTAAACAGTTGAGCACTGGGTTCAAATATTAGTTGCTTTTATTATTTTAAAAATTTTTATTACTTTTTTTTTTTTTTTAAACTGGAGACAAGCTGGATGCGGTGGCTCATGTCTGTAATCCCAGCACTGTGGGACACTGAGGCGGGTGGATCACCTAAGGTCAGGAGTTCGAGGCCATCCTGGCCAACATGGCGAAACCCTGTCTCTACTAAAAATATAAAAATTAGCTGGGCATGGTGGCACGCGCCTGTAGTCCCAGCTTCTCAGGAGGCTGAGGCAGGAGAATTGCTTTAACCTGGGAGGTGAAGGTTGCAGTGAGCTAAGATTGAGCCACTGCACTCTAGCCTGGGTGACAGAGCGAGACTCCATCTCAAAAAACAAACAAACGAAAACAACAACAACAAAAAAAACTAGAGACAGTGTCTCACTATGCTGCCCAGGCTGGCCTTGAACTCCTGGCCTCAAGTGATCCTCCCACCTCCACCTCCCAAAGTGCTGGGATTGCAGACATGAGCCACCAGTCAGGCCTTTGGTTTTATTATTTAAATGTTTGAAATATCCACGTTGCATCTCAGTCATACTGTGGTCATTTTGAATGAGATTAAATGTATAGATAATTTATTTCTTGAATTTCGTGTGACTTTTTTTTCCTCTCATCTTCTCTTAATAACTTAATGCCATGTTCCATGTGATCAGTCATTCAACATCAAGCTCCCATTTCAGGCTTGACACTGTATAAGAACTTGTGGGATACATAGTGAGTTTCTTCCTGGAGCTTAGAGTATCCAGTGGAGCTCAGATATTTTAAAGGATGAGTTACAGTGTACTTAAGTTCTCTAGCACAGTTGCGGTTAAAGAGCTATTTGAAACAGTAAGAATGAAATCCCTGGGTAAATAGGCTTCAGGGAGGAGGTGACTTTTGAACTAGGCTTTGGAGGAAGAGTAGGAGTTTTACAGGCAAATAAGATTGAGCAAAGAACATTCTAGGTAGATAGAATCATAGGTATGAAAGCATGGAGCCATGGTAGCCCCCAGTGTTTGGGGATGAGGCTGGAAAGCTAAGTTGGGGCTGTGAAAGGCAGGTCAAGGAGTTTGGATTTTATTCTGTAAGCCATGGGGAGCTACCAGAGAGTCTTAGATACATCACATACATCCCATGATAGACGTTGCAGTTAGAGAGTGGAGATAGATGTTATCGTGGGGCAGCTTTATTTGGGGGGCATCACTGTGCTTCAGGATCTGTTTCTCTGCTTCGTAGACCAGAAATTTAGTTTTGTAGGGTGCTCAGAGCTGATTGGATCCAGAGAGACTGACTCACTAACCAAACTTGGAAGAGACTCCTGAATAAACTTAGGATATTAACTGACCATGAGAAATGAAACTGCAGAGTGACAGATGTTTCTGTCCTCTGGCCATTGCTCCTCACTTTCTGGCCAGGGCTGGGACATACTAACAAACACTTGCTCCTCAATTCCTGTTTGTTTTTCTCAGGCTCCATGAAAACGAACCCTTTCTGTTAACATAATCTTTCCTCAAGCACTATTTAGTATAGTCAACAATGATTATTAATTGATAGAATGAATAATTCTGTATTGTTTATGTGGGATCCTGTATTTGTGAAACTTAAGGAATGGGACGAGTAATAGAAATAAAATATCAGAAAGGAGCGTTCCATAGAGTTAGGTTAATGGAGAAGGTATGCAGATTCTAAGTAGTGTGCGTAAATTTGTGGCTAGCAGTGGTTGTGGGCAGATGCGTCGGAAGTTGTTCTGGGAACAGAGGTCTGTGAACTCTTGGAGGAGGTAGGGGGCTTTTGGCTGCATGTGAAGGAAACACTGATTTAGGATCTTTATCTTCCCTACACATTGGAGACAGAAAAGAAAACAATTCCCACCCTCAACTCAGCCAGATCATGGTGAGTTTTAATTTAATTTAATTTATTTTGTTATTTTATTTTTGAGATGGAGTCTCACTCTGTTGCCCAGGCTGGAGTTCAATGGTGCCATCTTGGCTCCCTGCAACCTCCACCTCCCGGATTCCAGCGATTCTCCTGCCTCAGCCTCCTGAGTAGCTGGGACTACAGGCGTGCGCCACCACACCCAGCTAATTTTTGTATTTTTAGTAGAGACGGGGTTTCACCATGTTGGCCAGCCTGGTCTTGAACTCCTGACCTCAAATGATCCGCCTGCCTTGGCCTCCTAAAGTGCTGGGATTACAGGCATGAGCCCCTATGCCTGGCCTTATTCCTATCTTTACATGTAAGTTTGTTTAAACTTTTCTTAAAAAATAGGAACATCCTGAATAGGAGAGAGTTCTGAATGTTTGATGTCCTTGAGGTAGAGCAATTGCATGTACCCAAAATCTGTGTGTTTTCATTTGTGGGCATCTGGTCCAGCGGCCTCCCTTTGCTTGCTCCAAGGGTGTAGGATGTGTTATCCATTAGCTAATTACTTTTGGGAAATGTTTTCAGAGGATCAGAGTGCTACTTCAGCCAACCATTTGCTTTTGTTTAACAGCAGGGGAATTGTGTGTGTGTGTGTTTGTTGAAATGACACATTTGATCCTTTTTATGGCTCAGAGAAAAGTTAATGAATACCTTTCGAGTTTGGTGCCACGGCAGTCATTCCTCAAAGCTGTCAGCACTTATGGGCTGTCGTCCCCTGGTCACTGCGTGACTTTGGTTAAGTTCCTTACCTTTTCCATTTCAGATTCTGAAAGTGTTAAATCCAGAGGTAATAATGGGCAGCTGGGCACGGTGGCTCGTGCTTGTAATCCCAGCAGTACTTTGGGAGGATGAGGTGGGCGGATCACTTGAGGTCAGGAGTTCGAGACCAGCCTGGCCAATATGGTAAAATCCCATCTCTACTAAAAATACAAAAACAAGCTGATTGTGGTGGCACACGCCTGTAGTCCCAGCTACTTGGGAGGCTGAGGCAGGAGAATTGCTTGAGCCCAGGAGGCTGACGTTGCAGTGAGCCAAGATTGTGCCACTGCACTCCAGCCTAGGCGACAGAGCTAGATTCCATTTCAAAAAAAAAAGGTGATGATGGTGGGGCCCGGCATGGTGGTTTACACCTGTAATCCCAGCACTTTGGGAGTGCTGAGGTGGGAGAATTGCTTGATCCCAGGAGTTCGAGACCAGCCTGGGCAACATTGAAAGACCCCGTCTCTTAAAAAAAAAAAAAAAAAGAGAGGTAATGGTGGCTCCCTTTCTCTCATCAACACACTCTGGGGGATGAAAAGGATGATAATGTCTATGTGTGTGATAGATTGTAGAACGACTGCCACTGTGTTGAGTGAAGAAAAGGAGTATGTCTGCTGAACAGATTAACTTCTGGTCTCCAATCAGTATGTGTGGTGGCGTAGGGGGACTGCATGACTTTAACTTTTTATTTTTGAGAGGTCTAGGATTATTGCAATCCCCTGAGTTGTTTTTTTTTTTTTTTTTTTCATGGCAGAGTGTCACTCTGTTGCCCAGGCTGGAGTGCAGTGGTGCGATCTCAGCTCACTGCAACCTCTGCCTCCCAGGTTCAGGTGATCTCAGCCTCCGGAGTAGCTGGGACTACAGGCGTCCATCACCACACCCAGCTAATTTTTTTTTTTTTTTTTTTTTAGTAGAGTTGGTGTTTCACCATGTTGGCCAAGCTGGTCTCAAACTGTTAACTTCAAGTGATCCTCCTGCCTCTGCCTCCCAAAGTGCTGGGATTACAGGCATGAGTCACTGCACCTGGCTGAGATTTGAAAACTTTAAAGAAGTTTTTTTTAATTTTTTTTTATTTTTTTAAGAGATGAGGTCTCTATATTGCCTAGGCTAGCCTCAAACTCCTGGGCTCAAGCAATCCTCCTGCCTTAGCCTCTTGAGTAGCTGGGACTATAGACATGCACCACTGTGCCCAGCTTGAAACTTTTTTGAGTAGTCCAGAGGTGGCGTTAAGGGTCTTCCTCCATAAAAATAAATCCACAGGCTCATCCAGAGAACACGAGACCTACATCCCAGGGCTAACTCAGAATAGACTTGCTTCTCTGTAAGGACAGAGTTTACAGTAAGATCTTACCTCTGAGTGGAGGGATTGGGGTGGTTTTTACTTTATTCTTAATATTTTCTTCCTATCATTTGAATTTTATACAGACACATATATCATCTTTACAAAAACAAACAAGCATCCTATAAGCCGAATTTCATTTTGGAGACAAACATTGAATGCCCTAAAGCAAAAACTCAAAAACTGCCTAGAACTATGTCCCTATAGAGATGTATGATGTTGGAGTTGGCCTCCTCTGTCACTCTCAGGGTAAGATGCTTTTGTTAGATATGCATTCAAACAGGTGGATTAGGCTAGCACCTCTGATTGGGATAGTCCCTGAATTCAGAGAGGCAGGGCTGCACCTATCTGGGAGGAGCTGATGAGTAGAGTGTGACTTGGCTTCTAGCTTCATTAGTTGGTTGCTTTCTTTAGGGGTGTTTCTAAAGAAATCATTCCTTTTCTGGTGTGGCTCTGGGCTGACTCCTATGGACCATTGGGCTCAGTCTCTCACACAACAGCATGGGGATTCTAGAGGCCTTGATGTTACAACCTGGGGATCAAGGGACTGTTAAGAGAGAGAGTTCCCATTTGTAACCCTCACATGCATTCCTGGGATTTCCCCCCTTTTAGGGGTTTAGCTCATACTAGGGGCAAGGTGGAGGGCTGCTCCTTACAGCTAGTCTTTGGATACAGGAACATTTTACCCACATTGCCCTTGGCAAGCTAGAGCCAATGTGAGCCAGCAGAGTGGACTCTGGCTCCGCTTTTATTCCCCTGGTTTGCTGTAGTTTACAACATTCTACTTTTTTGTCAGTTCAGTTCCTGAAATTGAGGGTATTCCTTTACAAGCCAAAGGGCAGAGTGAGACTACACAGAGAGGTTTTGAAGGTAGGTGTCCATTGTAACTGCAAGCCATCTCAGGGACATTGTAGGGCCTGATGACACATTTGAGGCAGAGCTTTGGCATTTTCAGAGAAGGGGGCCCAGGGGTGGGCACTGAGCAGTTCAGATTTTTCTGGGCTTGGCCCAGCCAAAGCTCTGGTCTATGTGGCTGGGCTGCTATCTGCCTTTGTGCTGTTATCCTCCCCAGACTTGAACTTAACTGGCTGAGATTATAAAAACTATCACCATTTAATACTTTATTAAGGCTATAAATCTTTAGGCCCTTAAAAATATTATATATATTTTTTAAGAGATAGGAGTCTTGCTACATTGCCCTGGCTGGATTCGAAATCCTAGGCTCAAACGATCCTCCCTTTAAAAATTTTTTTTTGCTAGGCACAGTGGCTCACTCCTGTAATCCCAGTACTTTGGGAGGCCGAGGTGGGTGGATCACTTGAGGTCAGGAGTTCGAGACCAGCCTGGTCAACATGGTGAAACCCCGTCTCTACTAAAAATACAATAACGTAGCTGGCCATGGTGGTGCGCGCCTGTAGTCCCAACTACTTGGGAGGCTGAGGTGGGAGAATCGCTTGAACCTGGGAGGTAGAGGTTGCAGTGAGTCGACATTACGCCAGTGTACTCTGGCATGGGTGACAGAGTGAGACTGTCTCAATTAAAAAAAAAAATTATTTTTGTAGTGATGATGGGGTCTTGCTATATTGACCAAGCCAGTCTCAAACTCCTGGCTTCAAATAATCCTTCCACCTTAGCTTCACAAAGTGCTGGGATTACAGGCATGAGCCACAGCATCTGGCCCTCACCTTCCCAAGTATCTGGGACTACAGGTGTACCACTGTCCCTGATCATTATTCTTTTCTTTTCTTTTCTTTCTTTCTTTCCTTTTTTTTTTTTTTTTGAGAGATAGGGTCCAGCACTGTTACCCAGGCTGGAGTTGGAGTGCAGTGGTGCAATCATAGCTCATTACAGTCTTGACCTCCTGGGCTCAAACAATCCTTACACCTCAGCCTCCAGAGTGGGAACTACAGGCATGGGCCACAATGCCTGGTTAATTAGTTTTATTTTTTTATTTATTTTGTAGAGACAGGATCTCGCTGTGTTGACCAGGCTGGTTTCAAACTCCTGGCTTGAAGCGATCCTTCCACCTCGGCCTCCCAAAATGTGGGATTACAGGTGTGAGTCACTGTGCCTGGCTGCCATTAATCTTTTTTTTTTTTTTGAGATGGAGTCTCACTCTGTCCCCCAGGCTAGAGTGCAGTGGCATGATCTCAGCTCACTGCAACCTTCACCTCCCAGGTTCAAGCAATTCTCCTGCCTCAGCCTCCCAAGTAGCTGGGACTACAGGCACACGCTGCCATGTCTGGCTTTTTCTTTTTTGTATTTCAGTAGAGATGGGGTTGCACCATGTTGCCCAGGCTGGTCTCAAACTCCTGAGCTCAGGCAGTCCGCCCACCTCGGCCTCCCAAAGTGCTAGGATTACAGGCGTGAGCCACTGTGCCCAGCCGTTAATCCTTTTTTTTTTTCTTTTTTTTTGAAATGGAGTCTTGCTCTGTCGCCCAGGCTAGAGTGCAGTGGCAAGATCTCGGCTCACTGCCACCTCCGCCTCCCAGGTTAAAGGAATTCTCCTGCCTCAGCCTCCCGAGTAGCTGGGACTACAGGCGCCTGCCACCACACCCGGCTAATTTTTTATTTTTTTTAGTAGAGATGGGGTTTCACCATCTTGGCCAGGCTGGTCTCGAACTTCTGACCTTGTGATCCACCCGCCTCGGCCTCCCAAAGTGCTGGGATTACAGGCATGAGCCACAGCGCCCGGCCCCGTTAATCCTTTAAAAAAAATTTTTTTTTGAGACCGTCTCGCTCTGTTGTCTAGACTGTAGTGCAGTGGCGTGATCATGGCTTACTGCAGCTTTGACCAACCAGGCTTAGGTGATCCTCCCACCTCAGTCACCCAAGTAGCTGGGACTACAGGCGTGCACCACCACACCAACTAATTTTTTTGTATTTTTTTGTAGAGATGGGGTTTTGCCATGTTGCCCAGGCTGGTCTTGAACTCCTGAGCTAGGCAATCGGCCCCTCTTGGCATCCCAAAATGCTGGGCTTACAGGTGAGAGCCATGGCGCCTGGCCTATTATTCTTAATTAGCATGTGTACTTGTATTTAAAGTCTTGGGGAGGCCAGGTAAGGTGGCTCACACCTGTAATCCCAGCACTTTTGGGGGCTGAGGTGGGTGGATTGCTTGAGCCCAGGAGTTTGAGACTAGCCTAGGTAACATAGCAAAACCCCATCGCTACTGAAAATCCAAAAAAAAAAAAAAAAAAGCTGGGCATAGTGGCACAGACCCGTATTCAGTCCCAGCTACTTGGGAGGCTGAGGTGGGAGAATCACCCAAGGCTGGGAAGTCTAGGATGTAGTGAGCCGTGATTATGCCTCTGCACTCCAGTCTAGGTGACAGAGTGGGACTTTGTCTCTAACTAACTAAATAAGTAAAATTTTCTGGAACCTTTTTGCAACAGCATTCTACTCTTTTTTGCCAATTCAGTTACAGTAGATACCTACCTTAAAGCCTCTTCTTATGGTCTCCCTATGCCCTTTGCCTTGCTAAAGGAACAACCTCAAGATTTTAAATATAAGTAAACATTCTAATTAAGAACAGTATTCCACAGTTGCTTATAAAAGCAACTGTGGACCCAATCCAGAGTTGGTGCTCTGTAGAGCATAAAAGAATCATGTGAGATGAACTTCGCCCTCCAGGATTTCCCCCACTGAAAGCAATTAGAGAACAATTTGCTTTCAGACCAGAAGTGTCTTAAGGGGGCTTTTCTTTCTGAGGGTGGTGGTTATTGGCACACAGGTCACCCTCTGAGATGGCTGGGATTACCTCTAGGGAACATTCTCTAGTACCCAAAATGTACTGAATGGCCATTTGGGAGGAGAGAGGTGGTGGCCATGAAGTATTCTGATCTTTCATTACTTGTCTCCCCTTGACGCTGCTTCCTAAGTGCTGTGCCCTTTAGGAGAAGCTGGCCTCCTATCCACAAAGTATGAACCCCAGTGTCTGTCATTCCATCATTATAGCTCCATTCCTCTGAGTCTAAGGCTTTTGCATTTCCATCTTAGAGTCCTGTTTTAAATTATTTATACCCCCTGGGAGAGGTCATACTCTTTAGTACATCATCACCAAACAGTAGGTTTAATTACCAGGAATTAATTAAGTCAACTGAGAGAAAGACTGGGACCCAGGCAGGCACTTGGGGGCAAGAGTGTCTGAAGGGACACACTTCTGCATGGGAGGAGAGAAGTGAGGGCAGCAAAAGAAACATTCATTCATATCAGTTCCTGCAGTGAATGTTGTTGTACCACCTCATTGCTGACTCTGGGCCCACCTTGGTGGTCCTGCTGGCTGGGACATAGGGTACAGCGTGGGCTAGCCCTGCCTTGTACAGGGGTTTTGAGGCAGAGTTGGAATTTGAGCCAAGTCTTTAAGGATTGGGGAGATTCCCCCCCCCCCCACCCTGCCATTTAAAAAGTAATATGTGCTTAGTTTAGAAAATTTGGGAACAATCAGGAAGAAATTCTGGTAATTCTTCCTAATGATAGACAGTTGAGATGGATAGGCAGAGGGGAGTGATCCTTTTAAAATGTCAGTCTGATAGAATTTGAGGATAAGTGGTTAAAAAAAAAAAGAACCACCTACAACAAATAAAATATTGGTCTGAGCACATCATTCTTCTACTCCAAATCCTCCTGTACTCTTTCGTCTTAGAGTCAAAGTCAAAGACCTAGCAATGGCCTGCCATCATCTGCTTCCCAGCCATATCTCCTACTCCTTCTGCTTCAGGGCCTTTCTCTTCCTTCTTGTTCATCCCTCCGCCTAAAACCTCTTCTCCCCCATATTCTCATGGCTTGCTCTCTCACTTCAGAACTGAGAATATATTCACTCTTCTGATGTCATATGAGGAGCCCTGGTTGAGAAAGAGAATAAGTATGACTTTTATGAATCTGTCTCTGTATGTCTGTCTCCTTCCAGTGGATTATCAGCTCTACATGGGCAGGAATTTCATTTGTTCTGTTCACTGTGGTGTCCACTGTGGTATCCACAGTGACTAGAACAAGGCCTGGCACACAGTAATGGTGCTCAATATTATTGAATGAATGAAAGTACATGCGTGCATGTCTGCGGTGTGTGTGTGGTGTAGAGATAGGGTAGCAAAGGGCAGTGTAGCTAGCAGCTGGAGTAGGAGAGAAGGAGTGTGGTTGGGTGGAAGAGAGGAGGATGAAGAGGATGCTCTCAGTAGGAACGGAGTTCAGAGACATGGTCCAGTCTGTTCCAGTCTCTATACCCCATCTCTTACTGGTGCTGTTCAGCAGGGAGGCAGTGAGTTGGTGCTGCAAGACCAGTGAGGGGCAGCTGCTGAAAAACACAGTAGCCCTGGTCTTAGGCCTAGATTATGGAGGTTTTTGAAAGCCTGGCCCAGGGCTTGGACCTAATATGGTAGGCTACAGGAAGAAGTTTTTTTTTTTTTAGGACAGAGTTTCCCTCTTGTTGCCCAGATTGGGGTGCAATGGCACAATCTTGGCTCACTGCAACCTCCATCTCCCGGATTCAAGCAATTCTCTTGCCTCAGCCTCCTAAGTAGCTGAGATTACAGGCATGCGTCACCACACCTGGCTAATTTTTTTGTATTTTTAGTAGAGATGGGGTTTCGCCATGTTGGCCAGGCCAGTCTCAAACTCCTGACCTCAGGTGATCCACCCACCTTGGCCTCCCAAAGTGCTGAGATTACAGGCATGAACCACCATGCCCGGCCCAGGGAGTTTTTGAGCAGAGTAAGTGACCTGATAAAAATGGTGTTTGGGAAGGATTAGTCTTAAAGAAATTTGCAGGATGACCAAGTAGGGAAAGACCAGAGAGGGCAAGGAAAGAGCAAGGACCAGGGGGTCGGCAGACATGGGATGGAGCAGATGACATCAGTGAGACTTGGTAATGGCGGGATGCTCCCCAACTGCTGTGTGGCTGCCTTGACAAAGGCTTCCAGTGCTTCCAATGTGGTAGAGTTTAAAGTGTTGTCAGTGGTTTCAAGTGAGTTTTGGAAGCAGGTGGGGTGTAAGTAGGAGAAAGGAAAAGGAAGGGTCATCCTCAGGTTGCTGAAGGTGTTCATCAGGTTGAGGGGTCTGGGGGTAAGCAGGCAATAGTATCCCAGATGGCACCTTCACCTCACGGGCTGTAATCCCAGGAGAGGAGCCTGTCTGTTCTTTCTGGTCTGCTGAAAACTCTTCCTGTCTGAGTACAGCTGTCAGTGCTCTCAGGCTTTCTTCTGAATCTGCACATATGCTAAGATGATATCTGAAAGCCATTTGTTCCATCACCTTTCAAGTTCATTTTCTGTTTCCGTATGTTTATTTCTCAGAACAAATTGTCTTTGACGAACAAACCCATTGGATTGGATTAATTGTCTAGAAATACTTATTTCTGAAAGTATTTCTGAATGGTTTCTGTTTCATTAGGCTTCTATCCTGTTTTTGATAAGGGTTGTGCCAAGATGAGATCAGTGAAGAAGTGTTTTTGGTATAATCAACCAAACGGCTGCTTCTTTATGATCTTTTGGTATGAGTCATATTTTGAGATTTGTGTTCCTGATGTGTTCATTTAGAGTATATATGTGATGGTCTGCTATGTGCCAGGCACTATTCTAGGCACTGGGAATATAACAAGGAACAAAATAAACACAAATCTTACTCTTATAGGGCTCATTCTGGTTTGTATGCATTTATAGATAATAAGTAAGATAAAATATAAGAGATGGTGAAAAGTGTTATGGAGAAAAATGAAGCAGGCTTGGTGGATGAGGGGTTTGGTGGGGAGGAAGGTCTTCTATTTTAAATTGAGAAGTCAGAGAAATCTCATGGATTAAATGGCCTTTGAGCGGAGGTCTGAAGGAAGTGAGAGAGGGAGCCACGCAGATATCTGAGAAAAGAGCAATCAGATTGGAGAAAAGAGCAAGTGCAAAAGCCCTTCAGGCTGGGGAGGGTTTAAGGAACCCATGGGGGAAGGTACGGATTTTGGGGATCCTATGGTGGCTCCACCTCTGTAATTTCTGGTTTAATTGGTCTGAGCTGGGGTTAGGCATTAGGATCGCTCCAGGTCTAAGAAGCACTGGTCTGAGGGTTAAATAAGCCTTATCCCCTGTATTTGGTGGAGAGATTTGAAGGGTAACTGTGAGTAGGAGACTTCAGCTGCTCTGATGGGAAGGGCAAGCAAGGGCCCCCTGACCTTGCCAGGAATAACAGGAATCTTCCACAGTAATAAAAACTCTTCAGTTTATGTCCCTTTTCTTATTTGATTACCTCACCTCTCTGGGCCTCAGTTTCCTTGCTTGTAGAGTAAGTGGTTTAAATTTAATGGTTTTCTAGAATCTCTTTGGCTCCGATAGTCCTGAATCTTTCTAGTGTTGGAAGAAGCTCTAATCTAGAACAGTGTTCTAGAGCAATGTTGTCTAATCTTGGTCTTATAACACTCTAAGTTGTGTCATCATTATGGCAAGGGCTGTGGTGAATGTCTCAATACCAAATTGAAGGAAAATTTGTGCCCTATTCAGTAGCACCTTGGGAAGATGAGTGTGTTGGGAAACTTGAAATGTGAAAACTGACCTGCTGGTTTGGAGTCCAAAGTACAGGGGCAGCTTGGTCCTTGGGGGCAGGCAGGAGCCTGAGTGCCAGTCTTAGTTCACTCACTGGTGAGTTCCTTGTGCAGTGTGAAGAGTGTGTTATAAACTGTAAGATTCCTACACATCCAAGCATGCGTGTGTGATTAGGGTGACCTGGGAGAAGCAGCCAGCCTGGAAGTGAAGCCTGACACTCAGGTTTGTTAGCCATTCTGCATCCAAACTGCATGATTGCGCATGTGAGAGAGACTGTCTGGATAACCCAACAGAAACTGGTGGCCAGAGGAACCAAGGTTAATCTGGAGTAAATAACCTAGTATACTCATTGGAGCACCTCCCAATTTATTTACTATTGGACAGCAGACCTAAGACACCCCTTGGCCCCTGATCTCTAACTTTTGTCCTCATTTGGACAGCACAGTGTCTGCTTGTTAGTTTATGTTTTGAAATGTGAAAGCCCAAATAAGAAAAGGAAAAACTTCAGGAAAGTTTTCTCTAGTTTCTTTCTGTAGAATTGAGATAATTAGTTTCTTTCCCTTCCCTTCTACATTTTTACATTAATATTGTCTGTATTACTATTTAGAATCCAAACTAAATGTTGGTCTGTCAAAACTGGACAAAAATGAAGTCAAGCGAGGGAATGCAGGATTAGAGTGAGAATGGGCAGAACGAGAAATTCAGGGAATGAGTCCTTTTATTAGGTAACTTGTGGGTATATGTAGTTGATGGGCCGTTAACCAGTGTTTCTCAACGCTAGTCAATTAAATCTGAATCTTAGAGGGGTAGTGGCCAAGTATTAGTAGCTTCCAAAGTTCTCAAGGTGATTCTCATGTTTGGCTACAGTTAGGGATCACCTAGTTTTTAAAAAAGAGTTCTGCCGACTTTCCTCTTTTTGACCCTCATTCTCATCACCTGCTCTGTGCTGACCTCTTCCTACACTGCTATCTGCCCCCGCCATGATTTCTGCAGCTCACCTGCCCCCCTGGCCCCTGCTTGGCCCTCTGCTTCTTCAGCTTCAGCGGGCATCCCGAGCACTGGAGGAGGAGTTGTGTGGAGGGGTAAACTAAACCCGGCTTTACTTCCCTTGTCTTTCTGTCCTCTCTGCATGCAATTTCTGGGGCACTCTGAAAACTTAGGAGGGAAAGCTTGGTGGCCACTGAGGTTGGTGGCATAATGCTTAACAAACATGTATTTGCTATGTGAAAGACAGTGTTTTAAGAGCTTTATAAATATTAACTCATTTGATCCCTATAATAGCCCATTTTACATATGGGGAAACAGACAGAGATGAAGAATCTTCCCCCAGGTCTCAAGGCTAGTAAGTAGTAGAACTAGGATTTGAACCCGGATGGAGTCTGTGCTCTGAAGCACCAGCCTGTAATAGAGGGAGGGGAGCAGACGTGGAGCTGGGAAAAGTTTTGTCTTTGACTACATTTGTGGCCTGCTTGAATTTACATTTGGGGATTTTTCTCAGGGTCTTACTTACACTTGGATTATTATTATTAGTTTTTTTAAACTATCTTTCCTTACTCTAACACTTACCTTCAGACCCACTTAAAAAAAATTTTGTTTTTCTTCTTTCCTTAGGTGGTGTTTGGACTCTAGACCATGTGCCTAGGTAGAAGTTTTTCCTTTCTCCGCAGCTCTGCTCCCCTAGCAACGCTCGCCACACCCTTGTTTTGAGATCCTCTCTAAGGTATGATGTCTAGGCTGACCTGAACTGGCCTTGAAAAGCCAAGAGTTTGAACATGAGATTTTTTTGTTCCCTGGATTTTGTTTTGTTTTGTTTTGTTTTTTTTTGATGATAAAATACATATAACAAAAGTTACCATTTTTAAGTGTGCAGCTCAGTGGCATTAAATACATTCACAGTTGTACAAGCATCACCACTGTCCATCTCCAGAACCTGATATCATCTCATACTAAAACTCTGTACCTATTAAACAGTAACTCCCTCTCTCTCTCCTGCTAACCCCTGGCAACCAATTCTACTTCTTGTCTCTATGAATTTGCCTACTCTAGGGACCTCATGTAAGTGGAATCATTCAGTATTTGTCTGTTGTAGCATGTGTCAGAATTTCCTTCCTTTTTAAAGTTGAATGATATTCCATTGTGTGTATATACCACATTTTGTTTATCCTTTCATCTGTTGATAGATACTTGGGTTACTTCCACCTTTGAGTGTTATGAATAATCCTGCTATGAACATGGGTGTACAAGTATCTTGTGTCCTCCCGCTCTTAATTCTTTTGAGTATATACCCAGAAGTGGAATTGCTGGATCATATGGTAATTCTGTTTAATTTTTTAAGGAACTGCCAACTGCTTTCTATAGCAGCTGCACCATTTTACATTCCTACCAGCGATGCACAAGGAATCTGATTTCTCCACATCCTCACTAGCACTTGTTATTATTGTTTTTTTTTTTTTTTTTTTTTTGAGACAGAGTCTTGCTCTGTTGCCAGACTGGAGTGCAGTGATGTGATCTTGGCTCACTGAAACCTCCACCTCCCGGGTTCATGCCATTCTCCTGCCTCAGCCTCCTGAGTAGCTGGGACTACAGGTGCATGCCACCATGCCCAGCTAAATTTTATATTTTCAGTAGAGACGGGGTTTCACCATGTTGGCCAGGATGGTCTCCATCTCTTGACCTGTGATCTGCCTGCCTCGGCCTCCTAAAGTGTAGGGATTACAGGCATGAGCCACCGCACCCAGACTTGTTTTGTTTTTAAATAATAGCCATCCTGATGAGTGTGTGATTGGACCCATAAAGTCTACTAGCCAAGGGGTGGGTCCCTATTGTGTTGAAATGTACACATATAGAAAAAAAATATGATAAACCTCTGTGTACTCACTCAGATTCGGTAGTTATCAATTCATGGTCCTTTTTTTTTTTTTATGTTTTGTTTTTTTGAGACAGGGTCTCACTCTGTCACCCAAGCTGGAGTGCAGTGGTGTGATCAAGACTCACTGCAGCCTTTACCCCCTGGGTTCAAGCAGTCCTCCCACCTCAGCCTCCCGAGTAGCTGGGACTACAGCACACACCACCGTGCCTGGCTACATGGTCAATCTTGTTTCATTTATGTGTCCCCTCCTTGCTGTCTTCCTCTTGCCCTGTGTTATTTTGAGGCCAATTCCAAATGTCACATCATTTTATCTGTAAACATTTCACTATGTGAAGGCTCTTAATAGTCCATTTGTCTAATCATAGGAAGGCACATAGGGACATGTTAGGTTATCATTCCCTTGGATCACCAGGGACATACAATAGGCACATACAGAACACCTGGATATTGGATCCGTTGCCATGCTGGATTGTTGGTGAAAGGCTGCTTTGGCTGGGGCCCTACTTTCTTGCTGAAGGCTGGCTTCCCTCAGGTCTGAGCAGTCATGGTGAAAGAGCACACCCAGATCTCTGTTGAGAGGGGAAGGAGAGAAGAGGGAGGAAGAGAGGCATGAGGGAGAGAGCAGGAGCTGGAGAGTTGGGGGGCGGATAGAGAGACAGAGAGAGAGAGGACAGGGGAAGAGAAGAGAGGGAGAGAAAGTGTACCGTGGAGGAAGGAATAGAGGGAGAGAGGATGAGAAAGAGTGTGTGTGTGTGTGTGTGTGTGTGTGTGTGTGTAAGAAAAGGGGAATAAGAACAGAACACTTGGGAGAGAAACTTTACCAGCCCTTTGACTCACCAGCTCGTAAACTCCTGTGGTGATCTAAGGCAACCATAGGGATGCCTCTAAGAGTAATAGCATGCTCCTCGTGTCCCTCCAGACCTGTCAGTTTAGGAAGCTTTGGAACTGTAGGTTGTCTGTGGTAGATAAGACTGGTGGCACCCTCAAAACCACCAAAGAAAGAGTGATCCTGTGAAATGGCCACTTTCTGTTTTCTTTTTGTTTTTCCGAGATGGAGTCTCATTCCGTAGCCCAAGCTGGAATGCAGTGGCGTGATCTCGGCTCACTACAGCCTTCGCCTCTGGGGCTCAAGTGATTCTTCTGCCTCAGCCTCCCAAGTAGCTGGGACTAGAGGCGTACACCACCACACCCGGTTAATTTTTTTGTATTTTTAGTAATTTTTTTGTATTTTTGTAGAGATTTTTTGTATTTTTAGTTTCACCATGTTGCCTGGGTGGTCTCGAACTCCTGAGCTCAGGCGATCCGCCCGCCTCGGCCTCCGAAAGTGCTGGAATTACAGATGTGAGCCACCGTACCCGGCCAACACTGTTTTCTAGGGTCCTTTGCGTCGGAAGTTGAGGCTTGGTTCCCAGCAGGTCTGAGGCTGCTGGCTTCTTGCTTAAATTTAGGGGTCCCCACTACCAAGAGATGATGCATTTACAAAGTTTACTGGGAGGAACACACCAGGATGGTGTGTGAACAAGAGGAGTCCTGTCCCCCTTTTTCTCAAATCTCTGGGTCCTGTTTCCTTCTAACAAAGTGTGGTGCTAGGTTATTGCTGAGATCTGTTTGCAAAGAAGGAAAGGTAAAGGGGGTACGGGTTACAAAGTATCAGTTTGTATCTAAATTGTCAGCTCTGTGTAAACTGTGCTTGCTGCCTATGCCTAGTTTCTGCTTGTCCCAGTCAGTTTTATTGTCTTGTATAATCCCAGCTCCCTCCAGTTCTGTCTTTTTCTATCTTTTAAAAAATATAGCAGCTTTATTGAGATATAATTCACATGCCATACAATTTACCCATTTAAAGTGCACAATTCAATGGTATTTCAGTTTGTTCACGGACTTGTATTTTCTTTTTTTTTATTTGTTTCTTTTCTTTTCTTTTCTTTTTTTTGAGACAGGGTTTTGCTGTGTCACCTACCCTGGAGTGCAATGGTGCAATCACAGCTCACTGCAGCCTCAACCTCCCAGGCTCAAGCAATCCTCCCACCTCAGCCTTTTGAGTAGCTGGGACTACAGACATGTGCCACCACGCCCAGCTAATTTTAATTTTAATTTTAATTTTTTTTTTTTGTAGAGATGGGGTTTTGCCATGTTGCCCAGCTGGTATTGAACTCCTGGCCTCAAATGATCTACCTGCCTTGGCCTCACGCTTGGGATTACAGCCACGAGCCATAGTGCCTAGCCAGTATCTTCTTATCTTCTTTCCTTTTCTTTCTTTCTTTCTTTCTTTTTTTTTTTTTTTTTTTTGAGACAGTTGTGCTCTGTCGCCCAGGCTGGAGACTGGAGTGCAGTGGCGCGATCCCAGCTCACTACAACCTCTGCCTCCTGGGTTCAAGCGATTCTCCTGCCTTAGCCTCCCAAGTAGCTAGGATTACAGGTGTGCACCACCACACCTGGCTAATTTTTGTATTTTTAGTAGAGACAAGGTTTCATCATGTGGACCAGGCTGGTCTTGAACTCCTGACCTCAAGTCATCCACCTGTCTCAGCTTCCCAAAGTGCTGGGATTACAGGCATGAGCCACCGTGCCCAGCCTTTTGTGTCTTTTTTTCTTAAGACTCATTCCCACCCTGTACCTACCTCTTCCCTATGGTTCTCAGAGCTAGCCTTTTCTTTCCTCTGGTGTCACACTGATCCCATCCTCAAAACAAATGACCTTATGGGACATCGGCCAATAGGCACCCCCCACTGATAAAATATTTAATTTAATCAGCCATTACAGGGATCCAGGATTCATAGACAAGGGTACTTTAGGTAGACCCCTTCCCACTGGCGAGGTCCCATAACCACTGAAGGTCTCTCTAAAATTTTAAAAAGTGAAACAAAAATTTGCATATTTGCAAAATGTTTGATTCATAATAAGCCCACTTGGGAATCTGTGATTATCTTGAACAATCTTAATTCTGGACAAATGAGCTTGTCAAATTGTTCTTCCTCCTTTCTTTTATTTTTTTTTGAGACATGGTGTCCATCTGTTGCCCAGACTGGAGTGCAATAGCACGATCGTGGCTCACTGCAACCTCCACTTCCTGAGTTCAAGCAATTCTCCTGCCTCAGCCTCCTGAGTAGCTGGGATTACAGGTGTCCACCACCATGCCTGGCTAATTTTTGTATTTTTAGTAGAGACAGGGTTTCACCATGTTGGTGAGGCTGGTCTTGAACTCCTGACCTCAGGTGATCAGCCCACCTCTGCCTCCCAAAGTGCTGGAATTATAGGCATGAGCCACTGTGCCTGGCCTGTTCCTTCTTTCTAATGGTGGATTACCTTCCTGTAAACACACTGGAATTTACAGAAAGACAAGAAGGTAATGAACAATTACATAATATATGCTAGGTGGTGATAAGTGCTGGGAAGAAAATAAAGCAGTGTAAAGGGATAAAGATTGATGGTTGGGTTGGGGATTGGTGTCTCATGTAGAACGGTCATGGAAGGCTCCTGACAAAGTGACATTGGATTAAAGGCCTGAAGAAGTGAGGAAGTGAGCCCACCGAGATCTGGTGGGAGAATGTTTCAAGCAGAGGGAGTGGTGACTGCAGAGGCTCAGAATGGAGCATGACCAGCATGCCTGAGGAACGTAAGGAGGCCTTTGTGTGCCTGGACAGACTGGGTGAGAGAGAGGCATAGGAGATGGGGGCAGTGAGATCATCCCGGCTGTGGAGGCTGTGGGAAAGATGGGATTTCACTCTGAGGGAGATGGGATGGTGTTGAAGGGTTTTGAAGAGAGTAGGGACATGATGTGATGTGTGCTTTAAGATTTTTAAATTATCTTATTATTTTTTGAGATGGGGTCTCACTGTGTTGCCTAGGCTGGAGTGCAGTGGCTATCCTCAGGTGCATTCCTGGCTCACTGCAGCCTCAAATTCCTGGGCTCAAGTGATCCTCCTACCTCAGCCTCCTGAGTAGCTGGTACTACAGGCATGGGCCACTGTGCCCAGTGGCAACGTATGTTTCAAAAGCAATACTCTGGCTGCTGTGTTGGGAATGACTAGTAGAGGCAAGGGTGGAAGCAAGAAGATCAGTTGGCAGGCTTTTGTGGGAACACAGGAGAGAGATGATGGTAGAGGTGGTGAGAAATGGCTGGACTTGAATATATTTTGAAGGTTGAGTTGACAGGATGTGCTTGTGGATTGGATGAAGGGTGTGAAAGAAAGAGAGGTTTAGGCCTAAGCAGCTGGAAGAATGGCATTGTCATTTACTGAAATGCGGAAGGCTGTAGGAGGAAATCAAGAGCTAGATTTTAGACATAGTAGATCTGAGGTGCCTATTAGATATCCAAGTAGAGATCCAAATCTAGAAATAACAATAATTTAGTGAATGTCTACTGAGGGGCTTATAAAATAGCAGGAAAGAGAACACTTTACTGAAATGTTCAGTAAACTACAGTACAGGTAGAAAATTATGATGTGAGGAAGAATAAATAAAGCAAAAGGGAGCAAAAGGGAGAGTGAGGTGACTTCTGTAGGAATTCTGTGCCCTTGATGAGCCTCAGTGGTGCCCACAGATGTTTCCAGTGGATTATGTATGTGTAGGTGCTCAAGAGCAGGGTCTGGGCCTTCAGCTTTGTGCCCTCAGTGCCAGTCATAAGTCTTAGCATTTGGTGACTGTTCCCCTCTCTGAGCCTCAGTTCTCCATGTATAAAAAATGAAGAGTTTGGACTAGACCGGTGCAGTGGAATCACCTGGGAAGCTTTAAAAAAAAAACAACCAAAAAGCAGGAATCCATCCTAGACATATTGAATCAGAATTTTCATGGTGGAGCCTGTGTATCTGTATTTTTAAGTCATTCCCCATGTTACTCTTTTGCAGTCTGTCCAGCAGCGGCCTTCAGACAGGCATTTGGAAGCCCCTGGACCAGATAGTTTCCAAGGGCCCCTTCAGCTTTAACATCTTATGAGTCTTGTTAGAATGTTCGCAGTATAATTCTGTCCTTGAAATCTTTGGTTGGCGTGGAAAAGGCATGGCAGGGGGAGAGGAGAAGCTGCCTTTGGGTGAAGGACACCTTGCACAGGGCAAGCAGGGGCAGGTACATCAGCCAGGGGGTTGAAGAGACATCCAGGAATGGCTCCGGGAGCAGTGGGAGCAGTGACAACTCACCTGCCATGGGGAGCCAGGTGTGTTAGGTCACGGAAATAGAGGGGAAAGACATGACCCCCACACAGGAGAGGCTCACATACTGATGGGAAGGACTGATGAGAAAACGAATGATTCCAGCCCCCTGTGAGAAGTGCTGCCATAGAGGAAGAGAGGCTTGGGTGTCAGGAGAAAAGTGGAGCAGGAGGAGGGCAGAGCACTGGAGTTGCAGTACTCAGAGAAGGCATCAGAAGGGGACCCTGGAGCTGAAACTTGGGGATGAGGAGTTCTTAGGTTTGTGTTTGAGGCCCTGGTGGGTTGGGGTATCAGGTATTCTCTAGTCAGGGGGATAGCTCAAACCCTGGCAGAGAGGCACGAGAAAGTGTGAGAGAACCACCACTGGGGTCAGAATGAAAGGTATCCTGGCAAGTGGCTGGAGAGGGGCAGAGACCACATTGGAATGCATCCTCCATGAGAGGCTGAAGGGACATCTTGGTGATCAGATGTATGTTTCACAGCAAATTTTATGGCAACATGTGCATTAGAGGGGCTACACTAAGTGGAGGAAAGACAAGTAAAAAACGTTTTTTTTGTTTGTTTGTTTTTGCCTGAGCCCACTGGGGCAGCTGTTTCTTACGTACTGCTGAGAATCTCTTTGGGCCATTTTTTTTGCCACTGGCTTGAATAGCAGGTGCCTCATGAAATGAAACATTGGCCATTGACTGATTCAGAACATCTGAGACTTGGAGTGATATAGACCTATAAGCAGGCCTCAGATGTGTATTCAAGAGGCCAGTGAGATATATACGCCATGGAGTCTGCTTGTCCACTTTAGCAGTTAATTTTTATGTAGAAATCCCTAAGATCTAGATTAATTTGCCCAGCTGTTGCAGCCTAACCTGTTCAAGGACTCAGAGATCCTTAAAGTTAGTTTAATTTTACATACTAAACCAATGCCTACCTAAGGTCTTCACACAAGTAACTATTGATACCATAGGAGTGAAAGCCAATTCCATGTGGTCACAATTCCTTATTCTTTTAGCTATACCATTCCCAATCTGGGGCTTTGTTCTGGGTCCAGGAACATGAGCCTCTTTTTTCTGTTTCCTCTGATCCTACTGAAGTTTCACTAAGTTCCCTTCACTACCGTAACCCATGGAAGTGGTGTCTCGATGATTAATGTTCCTGCTTGAGTTCAGGCGAGGCTCCTGCACGTCTTGGGAGCAGCAGCTTACTCTTGAACTTGTTTGCTCATTCTGACTTTCCCCTTGTCTGCTTCCATTCCTGGTATAACATAGGGAGACCCTGTCTCTACAAAAATAAAAAAACTGGCCAGGCGTGGTGGTGCACACCTGCATCCCCAGCTACTCAGGAGCCTGAGGCGAGAGGATCACTTGAGTCCAGGAGGTGGAGGCTGAAGTGAGCTATGATCACACCATTGCACTCCAGCCTGGGCAACAGAGTGAGACCCTGTCTCAAAGCAAACAAATAAATAAATAAAAACTCTTAATTACAAGCAATAATGCAACACAAATGATATCAGTATTTAAGCCATAGTCAGTCATGTGGGGGAGCAGGGTTGAGAGTTCACCCACAGGTTGTGAAACATCCATCCTTCCTTCCTTCCAGTCCTAATACAACGAACAATGGCAAATTCAAGAAAACTTTTTTTTTTCTCTCTCACAGTTCAGCGTTCCTTAAATCATGCTGCCTTTAACTTTCATTTTATAAATATGCAAGCTTTTATTTGCTTCCTTGTCTTATTAAACAGAATATATTAACTAGAGATCAAATTTTTCTTAATGCTTTTTGGAGTCCCTCTGCCTCCTTAATGTCCTGTTACTGAACTTTTATTAATCTACTATTACTGAACTTAGCATTGCTGAGGTAACAGATGGCAAAGTTTAATGTTATTTGAAATTTGAAGGCTTTATGCAGGGGGGAAAACCTCATGGGTTCAGTGTTAAGTCCTTGTTCTTAGTTCCTCAGAGCCTTTTTTATTTTTAGATTTGAATATGTGAATGTTACTACATTTATATATTTTTTTAAAGTGATAATTCAGGATATTTTCTGACAATAGATAAAATCATCTTTTGTCTACATCTTTTATTTCTTTTTTTAACAAGTCACCACCCACCAGGGTTTTTTTTTTTTTTTGAGACGGAGTCTCGCTCTGTCGGCCAGGCTGGAGTGCAGTGATGCGATCTCGGCTCACTGCAAGCTCCGCCTCCCGGGTTCACGCCATTCTCCTGCCTCAGCCTCCCGAGTAGCTGGGATTACAGGTGCCCGCCACCAAGCCCAGCTAATTTTTTGTATTTTTAGTAGAGACGGGGTTTCACCATTTTAGCCAGGATGGTCTCGATCTCCTGACCTCGTGATCCACCCGCCTCGACCTCCCAAAGTGCTGGGATTACAGGCGTGAGCCATCGCGCCCGGCCCCCACCAGGGGTTTAATTCTCTTAGTAAAAAGGCCAGTTCAGAGAGGGGCCCTGTCTTGTCCCCATCCAGGGGAGAAGATCTACAGAGCACCCTGGGAATGTCCAAGCCCAGTACATATTTTATTTCAAACTTCAAAATACTGCCCTCTTCTCTCTAGTATTATGAGGTTTGATGAACAAACCTATAAGTTAGTTATACTTTCCCCTTTCTCCTAAATTTTCATCTCTCCAGAAAAAAAAAAATAGAGCTCTAATTTTTAGGGTCTCATTAGAAAGCCCTTTCATTTACTTTACAACTTCAATCTCTGAGATTTCGCAGGACCTCTTCCAACTCTGGTATGTTTTTCTTGAGGTATGGGGAACCAAAACTGCACAGCACACGTAGCTATGGACACACAGTGGTTTTGAATAAGGGCAGGATCACAAGTTCTGCTTTGCTTAGAGTGTTCTTTCTGATAATGCCTAGCATTTTCTGGGCCTTTTGTGATGAAACATGCGATGTGGTATCTTAAGGGAACAGTCTAAGCTGATTGAACAGTGTAGCTTAAAATCCATTATTCTAAAAGTATAATTGGTATTGCTTTTCCCTGAATGTTCCTTCACATTTGCCTTCACTGATGGTCACTTGCTATAATTTTGCCTATTTATGCAGCCTCATGAGAACCTGTCTTTTAATTTTGCTTTTTGATTAGGAACAGCTTTAAGGCCATTTGCAAATGAAGGTTTTACTTTATTGCTTCTACAAATACTTATTGAGTACCTAATGGGGAATCCAGTGATGAATGAAATAGATAAGCCTCTTCCTTCATGAAACTTACATCCTAACATTCTTCTGCTAGATTATTGGGTCCCAAAGCATTTATATAATTATGAAGACTTCCTTTTTAAAATAAATTTTTCATGAGTCCTTATTCAGCAGTGGTGTGTCTAATGGCTGGTCCTTGAGCACACATATCTGGAGGTGAAGCTGGGTTCCCTTATGGGTTGGAAACCACCATTCTAGGTAATTTATGAAAGCATAAATCACTAGTCCAAAATTAGTCAATGGGTTAAAAGCTCTGTTTATATTTCCCCATGAATGGGAATTACATGAAGACATAT